>NC_000021.9:7199527-7327865 GCF_000001405.40 Homo sapiens
GATCCTGTTTTTTTATTGTACAAAATATGTACCTTCTTATTAAATTTATTGCTAAGAATTGTATTATTTTAATGTTGTTGCAAACAATTGTTTTATTAATTTACTGTCAAATTGTTCATTGTTGGTATATGGAAATGCACTTTATGTTTCTGTGTTGTAAAAATAATTATTTCATCTCCAAATCTAGACTAGCAATTCATTCAGAATAAGTATGCAGTACAAATTGGTAGTCATTTAACTTTTTCCAATAAGCTAACCAATTACACTGTGTCTAAATATGTAAAAATGTTGAATTGTGTTAGATTTTCACTTACCCTCACCTGTCATTTATCAGTCAGAATTACATTACTGCACACATAGAACTTTCATTTCTGGGGCCGGGCATGGTGGCTCATGCCTATATTCCTAGCACTTTGTGAGACCAAGGCAGGCCGACTACCTGAGATCAGGAGTTCGAGACCAGCCTGACCAACACGGTAAAACCCTGCCTCTACTAAAAATAGAAAAATAAACTGAGTGTGGCCGTGGGAGACTGTCCTCCAGCTACTTTGGAGGCTGACACAGGATAATCACTTGAACAATCCCACAACACAAAACAACAAAAGTTAGTCTTCATGTCAAAAATCTTCAATGGATGTTTTTCATCACAGGATTGTTTAGTGCAACATTTTATGGAAAAGATGCATGCTACTGAGATGTAGTTCTCCAAAAGTATCTTAGAGTTTGTTGTTTTGTTATGTCTTACCTCACACACCTGTCCTGTTCCAGGCTATTTTTCAAAGATTTTTGTATACAAATAACCTGGAAAAAGGGTAGTAGTTTTTCTCTTCAGGTGAATGGCAGATAAATTACTCAATCAATATAATAAAGACAATTTTTCTCTGTGAGGCAAAGTTTGGACAGGTTTGCATGTAACCTACTTTAAGAAGATTAAGGTTTCTTAGTCTTGAGCCTGCTCAGCTGTGACACAAATCTTCCCCATGTGCAATGTCCATCTGAGCCTTTTGAAATCCCTCTAAAAAATGTAGTATGGACAAGGAGAACTAATACAAATATGAGGCTTTTGCCTCCAGGTAGACAGTAAATAGTAGGTATTTTTTTCATACTTCAGTGTCTCATGCCTTCTACCAGCATCCATGGAAATGGAAGGTTAATAGGTTTGTTTACAAATAGGATGAAATCTTAGATCCTTCACAATTATTTAATTTTGGAGATGACAATGGGATGCTGAGATAAACACAACTTTCTGAAAGGGGAAAATACACAAATACTTGAAGAGCTTGCAACGGATATGAAAATTTCCCCTAGGACTAACAGCAACTTCTCTCAGCCAAGTGGTTAGTTTGGTGAAACAAGGGATCAACACTCTGCTGTCTGCTAATGAGACTGATCCTTGAGAGGATTATAACAATGAGACTGAGAGCTTTGCATGTTCATTTTTCTCCTGCTGGAAAGATCAAGGACCTCTTAAAGCTAATGTTGAGGCTTGGATGAGTCCAAAACACTAGAAGTTCACCTCTGTGAGATGAATGCACACATCACAAAGAAGTTTCTCAGAATGCATCTGTCTAGTTTTTATGTGAAGATATTTCCTTTTCCACCATAGGAGGCAAACTTCTCCAAATATACATTTGCAGATGCTACAAAAAGAGTGTTTCAAAACTACTCAACGAAAAGAAAGGTTCAACTCTGTGAGATGAGTGCACACATCACAGAGAAGTTTCTCAGAATGCTTCTGTCTAGTTTTTATGTGAATAGGTTTGTTTTACACCATAGGCCTCTAAGCGCTTCAAATATCCACTTGCAGATTCACCAAAAACAGTGTTTCAAAACTGTTCAATCAAAGGAAAGGTTTAAATCTGTGAGATGAATGCACACATCACAAAGAAGTTTCTTAAAATGCATCTGTCTAGTTTTGATGCAAAGATATTTGCTTTTCCACCAAAGGCCTAAAAGCACTCCAAATATTCACTTGCAGATTTTACAAAAAGAGTGTTTCAAAACTGCTCAATCAAAAGAAAGGTTCAACTCTGTGAGATGAATGCACAAATCACAGAGAAATTTCTCAGAATGCTTCTGTCTAGTTTATATGTGAAGATATTTCCTTTTACACCATAGACCTCAAACCGCTTCAAATATCCATTTACAGATACTACAAAAAGAGTGTTTCAAAACTGCTCAATCAAAAGAAAGGTTCAACTCTGTCACATGAACGCGCACATCACAAAGAAGTTTTTCATAATTCTTCCGTCTAGTTTTTATGTGAAGATACTTCCTTTTACACCGTATGCAGCAAAGCGCTCCAAATACCCTCCTGCAGATTCTACAAAATGAGTGTTTCAACACTACTCAATCAAAAGAAAGTTCCACTCTGTGAGATGAATGCACACATCACAAAGAAATTTCTCAGAATGCTTCTGTGTAGTTTTTATGTGATGATATTTCCTTTTCCACAATAGGCCTTAAAGCACTCCAAATATCCACTTGCAGATTCTACAAAGGAGTGTGTCAAAACTGTGCAATCAAAAGAAAGATTTAACTCTGTGAGATGAATGCACACATCACCAAGAACTTTCTCAGAATGCTTCTGTCTAGTTTTTATGTGAAGATATTTCCATTTCCACTGTGGGCCACAAAGGGCTCCAAATATCCACTTGCAGATTCTACAAAAAGAGTGTTTCAAAACTGCTAAATCAAAAGAAAGATTCTACTCTGTGAGTTGAATGCACACATCAAAGAAGTTTCTCAGAGTGCTTCCATCAAGTTTTTATGTGGAGATATTTCCTTTTCCACCATAGGCCCCTAAGCGCTCCAAATATCCGCTTGCAAATTCTACAAAAAGAATGTTTGAAAACTGCTGAATCAAAAGAAAGGTTCACCACTGTAAGATGAATGTGCACCTCACAAAGAAGTTTCTCAGAAAGATTCTGTCTAGTTTTTATGTGAAGATATATCCTTTTGCACCGTAGACCTCAAAACGATCCATATATCCATTTGCAGATTCTACAAAAAGAGTGTTTCAAAACTGCTCAATCAAAAGAAAGGTTAAGTTCTGTGAGATGAATGCACACATTACAAAGAAGTTTCTCAGAATGCTGCTGTCTAGTTTTTATGTGAAGATGTTTCATTTTCCACCATATGCCTCAAAGTGCTCTAAATATCCACTTGCAGATTATACAAAAAGAGTGTTTCAAAACAGCTCAATCAAAAGAAATGTTCAACTCTGTGAGATGAATGCAGACATCACAAAGAAGTTTCTCAGATTGCTTCTGTCTAGTTTTTATGTGAAGATATTTATTTTCCACCATAGGCCGCAAAGCACTCCAAATATCCACTTGCAGATTCTACAAAAAGAGTGTTTCAAAAGGCTAAATGAAAAGAAAGGTTCAACTCTGTGATATATATGCACACATCACAAAGAAGTTTCTCAGAATGCTTTTGTCTACTATTTATGTGAAGGTATTTCCTTTTCCAAAATATGCCCCAAAGTACTCCTATTATCCACAGGCAGATTCTACAAAAAGAGTGTCTCAAAATTGCTCAATCAAAAGAAAATTTCAACTCTGTGAGATGAATGCAAACATCACAAAGAAGTTTCTCAGAATGCTTCTGTCTAGTTTTTAAGTGAAGATATTTCCTTTTCCTCCATAGGCGTCAAAGTGCTCCAAATATCCTCTAGCAGATTCTACAAAAAGAGTGTTTCAAAACTGCTTAATCAAAAGAAATGTTCAACTCTGTGAGAGGAATGCACACATCACAAATAAGTTTCTCAGAATGTTTCCTCTAGTTTTTATGTGAAGATATTTCCTTTTCCACCATAGTCCTCAAAGCGCTCCAAATATCCACTGGCCAATTCTCCAAAAAGAGCATTTCAAAACTGCTCAATCAAAAGAAATTTTCAAATCTGTGAGATGAATGTGCACATCACAAAGAAGTTTCTCAGAATGCTTCTGTGTAGCTTTTATGTGAAGATATTCCATTTTCCACAATAGGCCTCAAGTGTCTCCAAAAGTCCACTTGCAGATTCTACAAAAAGAGAGTTTCAAAACTGCTCAGTCAAAAGAAAGGTTAAACTCTCTCTGATGAATGCACACATCACAAAGAAGTTTCTCAGAATGCTTCCATCTAGTTTTTATGTGGAGATATTTCCTTTTCCGCCATCGGCCCCTAAGCACTCCAAATATCCACTTATAGATTCTTCAAAAAGCGTGTTTCAAAACTGCTGAATCAAAAGAAAGGTTCAACTCTGTGAGTTGAATGCACATATCAGAGAAAAGTTTCTCAGAATGCTTCTATCTAGTTTATATGTGAAGGTATTTCCTTTTCCATCATACTCATCAAAGCGTTCCAAATATTCACTTGCACATTCTACAAAAAGAGTGTATCAAATCTGCTCAGTGAAAAGAATGGTTCAATTTGGTGAGATAAATGAACACATCATGAGGAAGTTTCGCAGAATGCTTCTGTCTAGTTTTTCTGTGAAAATATTGCCTTTACTACCATAGGACACAATCGCTCCAAATATCTACTTTCAGATTCTACAAAAAGGGTGTTTCAATACTGCTCGATGAAAGGAAAGATTCAACCTGGTGAGATGAACGCACACATCACAAAGAAGTTTCTCAGAAGGCTTCTGTCTAGTTTTTATGTGAAGATATTTCCTTTTACACCATAGGCCACAATTCGCTCCAAATATCCACTTGCAGATTCATCAAAAAGACTGTTTCAAAACCCTCAATCAAAAGAAAGTTTCAACACTGTGAGATGAATGCACACATCACAAAGAAGTTTCTCAGAGTGCTTCTGTCTAGTTTTTATGTGAAGATATTTCCTTTTCCACCAGAGACCACAAATCGCTCCAAATACCCACTTGCATATACAACAAAAAGAGTGTTTCAAAACTGCTCAATCAAAAGAAAGGTTCAACTCTGTGAGATGAAGGCACTTATCACAGAGAAGTTTCTCAGAATGCTTCTGTCTAGTTTATATGTGAAGATATTTCCTTTTCCACGATAGACCTCAAACCGCTTCAAATATCCATTTACAGATACTACAAAAAGAGTGTTTCAAAACTGTTCAATCAAAAGAAAGGTTCAAATCTGTGAGTTGAATGCACAGATCGCCAAAAATTTCTCAGAATGCTTCTGTCTAGTTTTTATGTGAAGATAGTTCCTTTTCCACAATAGGCCCCAAAACGCTCCAAATATCCCCTTGCAGATACTACAAAAAGATGCTTTAAAAACTGCTCAATCTTCTTAATCCAGTCTATATACACCATGGAATACTATGAAGCCATAAAAAGTGATGAGTTCATAACCTTTTTAGGGACATGGATGAAATTGGAAGTCATCATTCTCAGTAAACTATCGCAAGAACAAAAAACCAAACACCGCATATTCTCACTCATAGGTGGGAATTGAACAATGAGATCACATGGACACAGGAAGGGGAACATCACACTCTGGGGACTGTTGTGGGGTGGGAGGAGGGGGGAGGGATAGCATTGGGATATATACCTAATGCTAGATGACAAGTTAGTGGGTGCAGCACACCAGCATGGCACATGTATACATATGTAACTAACCTGCACAATGTGCACATGTACCCTAAAACTTAAAGTATAATAATAATAATAATAACTGCTCAATCAAAAGAAATGTTCAACTTTTTGAGATGAACACACACATCACAAAGAAGTTTCTCAGCATGCTTCTATTTTTTATGTGAAGATATTTCCTTTTCCAAAATAGGCCAGAAAGGTCTGCAAATATCCACTTGCAGATTTTACAAAAAGAGAGAATCAAAACTTCTCAATCAAAAGATAGGTTCAGCTGTGTGAGTCTAATGCAGACATCACAAAAAAGTTTCTGAGAATGCTTCTGTGTAGTTTTTATGTGAAGATATTTCCTTTTCCACCATAGGCCTCAAAGCGCTCCAAATATCCACTTGCAGATTCTACAAAAGAGTGTGTCCAAACTGGTCAATCAAAAGAAAGGATCAACTCTCTGAGATGAATGCACACATCACAAAGAAGTTTCTCAGAATGCTTCTGTCTAGTTTTTATGTGAAGATATTTTCTTTTCCACAACAGGCCACAAAGCACTCTAAACATCCACTTGCAGATTCTACAAAAAGACGGTTTCAAAACTGCTCAATCAAAAGAAAGGTTCAACTCTGTGAGATGAATGTACACATTACAAAGACGTTTCTCAGAATGCTTCTTCATAGTTTTTATGTGAGGATATTTCCTTTTCCACCATAGGTCTAAATGTGCTCCAAATATCCACTTGCAGATTCTACAAAAAGAGTGATTAAAAACTGCTCAATCAAAGGATAGATTCAACTCGGTGAGATGAATGCACACATCCCAAATAAGTTTCTCAGAATGCTTCTGTGTAGTTTCTATGTGAAGATATTTCCTTTTCCACCAAAGATCTCAAAGCGCTAAAAATATCCCCTTGGAGATTCTACAAAAAGAATGTTTCCAAACTGCTCAATAAAAAGAAAGGTTCAACTCTGTGTGATGAATGCACACGTCACAAAGTAGTTTCTCACAATGCTTCTTTGTAGTTTTTATGTGAAGATATTTCCTTTTCCACAATAGGCCTCAAAGTGCTCGAAACATTGACTTGCACATTCTACAAAACGAGTGTTTCAAAACTGCTCAATCAAAAGAAAGGTTCAGCTTTGTGAGATGAATGCACACAACACAAAGAAGTTTCTCAGAATTATTTTGTGTGGTTTTTATGTGAAGATATTTCCTTTTTCACACTTGGCCACACAACGCACCAAATATCCACTTACAGAATCTGCAAAGACAGAGTTTCAAAACTGCTCTATAAAAAGATAGGCTCAACCCGGTGACTTGAATGCACACATCTCAAAGAGGTGTCTCAGAATGCTTCTGCGTACTTTTTGTAAAGATATTTCCTTTTACACCATTCACCACAAAGTGCTCCAAACATCCACCTGCAGATGTTACAAAAAGAGTGTTTCCAAACTGATCAATGAAAAGAAAGGTTCAACTCTATGAGACGAATTCACACATCATGAAGAAGTTTCTCACAATACTTTTGTGTAGTTTTTATGTGAAGATATTTCCTTTTCCAAAATAGGCCTTAAAGGACTCCAAATATCCCCTTGCAGATTCTACAAAAAGGGCGTTTCAAAAGTGCTCAATCAAAAGAGAGGTTCAACTCTTTGAGGGGAATGCACGCATAGCAAAGAAGTTTCTCAGAATGCTTCTGTGTAGTTTTTATGTGAAGATATTTCCTTTTCCACAGTAGGCCTCAAAGGGCTACAAATATACACTTGCAGATTCTACAAAAAGAGTGTTTCAAAACTGTTCAATCAAAAGAAAGGTTCAACTCTGTGAGTTGAATGCACACATCATAAAGAAGTTTCTCAGAATGCTTATGTGCAGTTTTTATGTGAAGATATTTCCTTTTCCACAATTTGCCTCAAAGCACTCCAAATATCCACCTGCAGATTCTGTAAAGATTGTTTCCAAACTGCTCAAAGAAAAGAAAGGTTCAACTTCGTGAGATTAATGCACTCATCACAAAGTAGTTTATCAGAATGCTTCTGTGTCATTTTTATGTGAAGATATTTTCTTTTCCACAGTAGGCCTCAAAGTGTTTCAAATATCCACTTGCTTATTCTATTAAAAGAGAGTTTCCAAACTGTTCAGTCTAAAGAAAGGTTCAACTCTGTGAGATGAATGTGCACATCACAAAGAAGTTTCTCAGAGTTCTTCTGTGTAGTTTTTATGTGAAGGTATTTCCTTTTACACAGTAGGCCACAAAGGGCTCCAAATATTCACCTGCAGATTCTCCAAAAAGAGAGTTTCTAAAATCCTCTACCAATAGATAGGTACAACTCTGTGAGTTGAATGCACACATCACAAAGAAGTTTCTCAGAATGCTTCTGTGTAGTTTTTATGTGAAGATATTTCAATTTCCACAATAGTCCTCAAAGCGCTCTAAATATCCACTTTTAGATTCTACTAAAGAGTGTTTTCAAACTGCTCAATCAAAAGAATGGTAAAACACTGTGAGATGAATGCAAAAATCACAAAGAAGTTTCTCAGAATGCTTCTGTGTAGTTTTCATATGAAGATATTTCCTTTTCCACAATGGGCCTCAAAGCGCTCTGTGAGATGAATGCACACGTCACAAGACATTTCCCAGAATGATTCTGTGTACTTTTCCTGTGAAGATACTTCCTTTTCCACAATAGTCCTCAAAGCTTTCCAAATATCCACTTGCAGATTCTACAAAAAGTGTGTTTCAAAAGTGCTCAATCAAAAGAAATGTTCTACTCTGTGAGATGAATGCAACATCACCAAGAAGTTTCTCAGAATGCTTCCGTGTAGTTTTTATGTGAAGATATTTCCTTTTACACCATAGACCTCAAATCGCTCCAACTATCCACTTGCAGATTCTACAAAAAGAGTGTTTCCAAACTGCTCATTCAAAAGAAAACTTCAACTCTGTGGGATGAGTAAACACCTCGCAAAGAAGTTTCACAGAATGATTCTGTGTAGTTTTTATGTGAAGATATTTCCTTTTCCACAATAGGCCTCAAAGCACCCCTAATATCCACTTGCAGATTCTACAAAAAGAGTGTTTCAAAACTGCTCAATCAAAAAAAGTTTCAATTCTTTGAGTTGAAAGCATACATCACAAAGAACTTTCTAAGAATGCTTCTGTATAGTTTTTATGTGAAGATATTTCATTTTCCACAATAGGCCTCAAAGAGCTCCAAATGTCCACTTCTAGTCACTACAAAAAGAGAGTTTCCAAAGTGCTAATGAAAAGAAGGGTTCAATTCTGTGAGATGAATGCATACATCACAAAGAAGTTTCTCAGAATGCTTCTGATTACTTTTTATGTGAAGATATTTCCTTTTCCACAATAGACCTCAAAGGGCTCCAAATATCCACTTTCAGATTGTACTAGAAGAGTGTTTCAAAAATGCTCAATCAAAAGAAAGTTTCAACTTTGTGAGGTGAATGCACACATCACAAGAAATTTCTCAGAATGCTTCTGTGTAATTTTTATGTGAACATACTTCCCTTTCCACAATAGTCAACAAAGCCCTGCAAATATACACTTGCACATTCTAGAAAAAGAGTGTTTCAAAACTGCTCAATCAAAAGAATGTTTCAACCCTGTGAGGTGAATGCACACATCACAAAGAAGTTTCTCAGAATGCTTCCGAGTAGTTTTTATGTGAAGATATTTCCTTTTCAACCGTAGGCCTAAAAGCACTCCAACTATTCACTTGCAGATTCTACAAAAAGAGTGTTTCCAAACTGCTCAATCAAAAGAAAACTTCAACTCCATGAGGTGAGTAAACACAATGCAAATAAGTTTCACAGAATGATTCTCCATAGTTTTTATGTGAAGATATTTCCTTTTCCACCACAAGCCGCAAATGTCTTTAAATATCCACTTCCAGGTTCTACAAAAAGAGATATTCAAAACTGCTTAATCAAAAGGTAGGTTCGACTCTGTGAGTTGAATGCATACATCACAAAGTAGTTTCTCAGAACGCTTCTGTGTAGTTTTTATGTGAAGATATTTCCTTTTACACCATAGGCCTCAAAGCGCTCCAAATATCCACCTGGAGATTCCAAGAAAAGAGAAATTCAAAACTGCTTATCAAAAGATAGGTTCAACTCCGAGAGTTGAATGCACACATCACAAATAAGTTTCTAAGAATGCTTCTGTGTATTTTTTATGTGCAGAAATTACCTTTTCCTCAGTACACCTTACAGAGCTGCAAATATCTACCTGCAGATCGCACTAAAAGAGTATTTCAAAACTGCACAATCAAAAGAAAGGTTCACCTCTGTGAAATGAATTCACACATCACAAAAAGTATCTCAGACTGTTCCTGTGTAGTTTTTATGTGAAGATACTTCCTTTTACACAATAGCTGTCAAACGCTCCAAATATCCACTAGAAGATTCTACAAAAAGAGTATTTCAAAACTGCTTAAACAAAAGAATGCTTCAACTCTGTCAGATGAATGCACACATCACAAAGAAGTTTCTCTGAATGCTTCTGTGTAGTTTTTATGTGAAGATATTTCCTTTTCCACTGTAGGCTGCAAAAGGCTCCAAATATCCACATGGAGATTCTACAAAAAGAATGTTTCCAAACTGGTCAATGAAAAGAAAGATACAACTCTGTGAGTTGAATGCACACATCACAAAGAAGTTTCTCAGAATTCTACTGTGTAGTTTCTATGTGTAGATATTTTCTTTTCCACAAAAGGCCTCAAAGCGTTCCAATTATCCACTTGCAGATTCTACAAAAAGATTGTTACAAAACTGCTCAATGAAAAGAACGGTTCAACTCAGTGGGTGGAATGCACACATCACAAAGAAGTTTCTCAGAATGTTTATGTGTAATTTTTATGTGAAGATAGTTCCTTTTCCGCAATAGGCCTCAAAGCGCTCCAAATATCTACTTGCAGATTCTACAAAAAGTGTTTTTCAAAACTGCTCAATCAAAGCAAAAGTTCAACTCTGAGATGAATGCCCACATCACAAAGAAGTTTCTCAGAATGCTTCTGTGTAGTTTTCATGTGAAGATAATTCGTTTTCCACAATAGGCCTCAAAGCACCCCAAATATCCATTGCATATTCTACTAAAAGCATGTTATAAAACTGCTGAATCAAAAGAAAGGTTCAACTCTGTGAGATGAATGCACAAGTCAAAATAAAGTATCTCAGAATGATTCTGTGTAGTTTTTGATGAAGATACTTCCTTTTCCACAAAAGACCTTAAAGGGCTCCTAATATCCACTTGCAGATTCTACAAAAAGAGAGATTCAAAACTGCTCAATCAAAAGATAGGTTCAACTGTGTGAGTTGAATGCACACATCACAAAGAAGTTTCTCAGAATGCTTCTGTGCAGTTTTTATGTGAAGATACATGCTTTTCCACAGTAGGCCTCGAAGCGCACCAAATATCCACTTGTAGATTCTACAAAAAGAGTGTTTCCAAACTGCTCAATCAAAAGCAAGTTTCAACTCTGTGAGATGAATGCACATAACACAAAGTAGTTTCTCAGAATGCTTCTGTGTATTTTTTGTGTGAAGATATTTCCTTTTCCACAATAGGCCTCAAAGCCCCCCAAATATCCACTTGAAGATTCTACAAAAAGAGGGTTTTAAAACTGCTCAATCAAAAGAAAGTTTCAACTCTGTGAGATGTATGCACACATCACAAAAAAGTTTCTCAGAATCCTTCTGTGTAGTTTTTCTGTGAAGATATTTCCTTTTCCAGAATAGCCCTCAAGGCGCTCCAAATATCCACTTGAAGATTCTGCAAAAAGAGTATTTCAAAACTGCTTAATCAAAAGAATGCTTCAACTCCGTGTGATGAATGCACATATCACAAAGAAGTTTCTCAGAATGCTACTGTGTAGTTTTTACGTGAAGATATTTCCTTTTCCACCATAGGCTGCTACGTGGTCCAAATATCCACCTGCAGATTTTACAAAAGGAGAGTTTCAAAACTTCTCAATGAAAAGATAGGTTCAACTATGTGAGTTGAATGCACACATCACAAAGAAGTTTCCCAGAATGCTTCTGTGTAGTTTTTATGTAAAGATATTTCCTTTCTCAAATAGGCCTCAAAGTCCTGTAAATATACACTTCCGGATTCTACAAAAGAGTGTTTCAAAGCTGCTCAATCGAAGGAAAATTTCAACTCTTTGTGATGTATGCACTCATCACAAAGTAGTTTCTGTGAATGCTTCTGTGTAGTTTTTATGTGAAGATATTTCCTTTTTCACAACTCCAAATATCCACTTCCAGATTCTACAAAAAGAGAGTTTCAAAACTGCTCAATCAAGAGATAGGTTCAACCCTGTGAGTTGAATGCACACATCAGAAAAAAGTTTCTGAAAATGCTTCTGTGTAGTTTTTATGTGAAGGTATTTCCTTTTCCAACATAGGCCTCAAAGTGATCAAATTATCCACCTGAAGATTCTACAAAAAGTGTGTTTCCAAACTGTTCAATGAAAAGAAAGGTTCAACCCTGTGAGATGAATGCACACATCACAAGGAAGTTTCTCAGAATGGTTCTGTGTAGTTTTTATGTGAAGATGTTTCCCTTTACACGATAGGCCTCAAAGGGCTCCAAATATCCAGTTGAAGATTATACAAAAAGAGTGTGTCCAAACTGCTGAATCAAAAGGAAAGTTCAGCTCTGTGAGATAAAAGTACACATCACAAAGAAGTTTCTCAGAATGCTTCTGTGTAGTTTTTATGTGAAGATGTTTCCTTTTCCACCATAGGCCGCCAAGGTCTCCAAGTATCCACTTTCAGATTCTACAAAAAGAGAGATTCAAAAGTGCTCAATCAAAAGATAGATTCAAAACTGTGAGTTAAATGCACACATAACAATGAAGTTTCTCAGAATACTTCTGTGTAGTTTTTATGTGAAGATATTTCCTTTTACACAATACGCCTCAAAGCACTAAAAATATCCACTTGCAGATTCTACAAAAATAGTGTTTTAAAACTGCTCAATCAAAAGAAAGTTTCAACTCTGTGAGGTGAATGCCCACATCACAAAGAAGTTTCTTAGATTGTTTATGTGTAGTTTTTATGTGAAGATATTTACTTTTCCACTGTCGGCCTCAAAGTGCTCCAAATATCAACTTATAGACTCGCAAAAACAGTGTTTCAAAACCGCTTAATGAAAAACTAGGTTCATCTCTGTGAGATGAAGGCACACATCACAAAGAAGTTTCTCAGAATGCTTCTGTGTAGTTTTTATGGGAAGATAATTCCTGTTCCAAAATAGGCCTCAAAGCCCTCCAGATATCCACTTGCAGACTCTACAAAAAGTGTGTTTCATAACTGTTCAGTCAAAGAAATTTTCAACTCTGTGTGGTGAATGGACTCATCACAAAGTAGTTTCTCAGAATGCTTCTGTGTAGTTTTTTTGGGAAGATATTTCCTTTATCACAAGAGGCCACAAAGGGCTCCTAATATCCACTTGCAGATTCTACAAAAAGAGAGATTCAAAACTGCTCAATCAAAAGATAGGTTCAGCTCTGTGTGATTAATGCACTCATCACAAAGAAGTTTCTCAGAATGCTTCTGTGCAGTTTTTATGTGAAGATACATGCTTTTCCACAATAGTCCTCAAAGTGCTCCAAATTTCCACTTGCAGATTTTATAAAAAGATTGTTTCAAAAGTGCTCAATCATAAGATAGGTTCAACTCTGTAAGATGAATGCACACATCAAAAAGAAGTTTCTCAGAATGCTTCTATGTAGTTTTTACTTGAAGATATTTCCTTTTCCACCTTATGCTGTAAAGGGCTCCAAATATCCACTTGTAGATTCTTCAAAAAGAGAGATTCAAAACTGCTCAATCAAAAGATAGATTTAACTACGTGAGTTGAATGCACATATCTTAAAGATGTGTCTCAGAATGCTTCTGTCAGAAAGCTTCTGTGCAGTTTTTATTGGAAGATATTTCCTTTTCCTCTATAGGCTGCGAAGGGCTACATATATCCACTTGCAGATTCTACAAACAGAGAGATTCAAAACTGCTCAATCAAAAGATAGGTTCAACCTTGTGAGTTGAATGCACACATCACAAAGTAGTTTCTCAGAATGCTTCTGTGTATTTTTTATGTGAAGATATTTACTTTTCCACAATAGGCCTCAAAGAGCTCCAAATATCCACTTGTAGATACACAAAAAGAGTGTTTCAAAACTTCTCAATCAAAGGAAAGGTTCAACTCTTTGAGATGAATGCGCCCATCACAAAGAAGTTTCTCAGAATGCCTCTGTGTAGTTTTTATTTGAAGATATTTGCTTTTCCGCAGTAGGCCTCAAAGCACTCCAAATATCCAGTTGCAGATTCTACAAAAATAGTGTTTCAAAAGTGCTCAATCAAACAAAAGTTCAACTCTGTGAGATGAATGCACACATCACAAAGAAGTTTCTGAGAATGCTTCTGTGTAGTTTTTATATGAAGATATTTCCTTTTCCACAATAAACCTCAAAGTGCTCCAAATATCCACTTGCAGATTCTACAAAGAGAGTGTTTCAAAACTGCTCAATCATAAGATAGGTTCCACACAGTGAGATGAATGCACAAATAACAAAGAAGTTTCTCAGAATGCATCTGTGTTGTTTTTATTTTTAGATGTTTCCTTTTACTGCATAGGCTGCAAAGGGCTCAAAATATCCACCTGCAGATTCTACAAAAAGAGAGATTCAAAACTGCTCCATCAAAAGAAAGGCTCAACTCTGTGAGATGAATGCACACATCACAAAGAAGTTTCTCAGAATGCTTCTGTGTAGTTTTCATGTGAAGATATTGCTTTTCCACAGTAGCCCTCAAACCGCTCCAAATATCCACTTGCAGATTCTTCAAAAGCAGTGTTTCAAAACAGCTCAATCAAAATAAACGTTCAACTCTGTGAAATGAATGCACTCATCACAAAGAAGTTTCTCAGAATTCTTCTGTGCAGTTTTTATGTGAAATTATTTCCTTTTCCACCACAGGCTGCAAAGGGCTCCAAATATCCACTTGCAGATTCTACAATAAGAGAGATTGAAAACTGCACAATCAAAAGATAGGTTCAACTCTCCTAGTTGAATGCACACAGCACAAAGAATTTCCTCAGAATGCTTCTGTGTAGTTTTCTTTGGAAGATATTTCCTTTTCCACCATAGGACCCAAACTCTCTAAATATCCACTAGCAGATTCTACAAAAAGAGTGTTTCCAAACTGCTCAGTCAAAAGAAAGGTTCAACTCTGTGAGATGAATGCAAACATCGCCTAGAAGTTTCTCAGAATGCTTCTGTGTAGTTTTTATGTGAAGATATTTTCTTTTCCTAAATAGTCCTCAAAGCACCGCAAATATCCACTTGCAGATTCTACAAAAAGAATGTTCCAAAGCTGCTCAATCAAAAGAAAGGTTCAATTCTGTGAGATGAATTCACACATCACAAAGCAGTTTCTCAGAATGCTTCTGTGTAGTTTTTATATGAAGATACTTGTTTTTCCACAGTAGACCTCCAAGCGCTCAAAATATCCACTTGCAGATTCTACAAAAACAGTGTTTCATAACTGCTAAATTGAAAGAAATGTTCAACTATTTGAGATGAATGTACACATCACAAAGGAGTTTCTCAGAATGCTTCTGTGTAATTTTTATGTGAAGATATTTCCTTTTCCACAATAGGCCACAAAGCGCTCAAAATATCCATGTGCTGATTCTACAAAAACAGAGTTTCAAAACTGCTCAATCATAAGATAGGTTCAACTCTGTGAGATGAATGCTGACATAACAAAGATGTTTCTCAGAATGTTTCTGTGTAGTTTTTATTTGAAGATATTTCCTTTTCCAAAATAGGCAGCAAAGGGCTCCAAATATCCACTTGCAGATTCTGCAAAAAGAGAAATTCAAAACTCCTCAATCAAAAAACAGGTTCAACTCTGTGAGTTGAATGCACACATCACAAATACGTTTCTCAGAATGCTTCTGTGTAGTTCTTATGTGAAGATATTTCCTTTTACACAGGAGACCTCAAAGGCCTCCACATATCCACTTGCAGATTCTACAAAAAGTGTGTTGCAAAACTGCTCAATCAAAAGAAAGGTTCAACTCTGTGAGATGAATGCACACATCGAAAAGAAGATTCTCAGAATGCTTCTTTGTAGTTTTTATGTGAAGATATTTGCTTTTCCACAGTAGGCCTCAAAATACTCCAAATATCCAATTGCAGATTCTACAAAGAGAGTGTTTCCAAACTGCTAAATCATAAGATAGGTTCAACTCTGTGAGATGAATGCACACATCACAAAGAAGTTTCTCAGAATGCTTCTGTGTAGTTTTTATGTGAAGATATTTCCCTTTACACAATGGGCTTCAAAGTGCTCCAAATATCCACTTGCAGATTCAACAAAAAGAGTGTTTCAAAACTGCTCGGTCATAAGATAGGATAAATTCTATGAAATGAATGCATACATCACAAACAAGTTTCTCAGAATGCTTCTGTGTAGTTTTTATTTGAAGATATTTCCTTTTCCACGCTAGGCTGCAAAGGGCTCCAGATATCCACTTGCAGATTCTAGAAACAGAGAGATTCAAAACTGCTCAATCAAAGGATAGGTTCAACTCCATAAGATGAATGCACACATCACAAAGAACTTTCTCAGAATGCTTTTGCATAGTTTTTATGTGAAGATATTTCCTTTTCCACAATGGCATCAAAGCGCTCCATATATCCACTTGCAGATTCTACAAAAAGAGTTTTTCAAAACTGCACTGTCAAAAGAAAAGTTCAACTCTGTGAGATGAATGCCCACATCACTAAGAAGTTTCTCAGAAGGCTTCTGTGTATTTTTTATGTGAAGATATTTGCTTTTCCAAAGTAGACCCCAAAGTGCTCCAAATATGCACTTGCAGATTCTTCAACAAGACTGTTTCGAAACTGCTCAATCAAAAGAAGTGTTCAACTCTGTTTGATGAATGCACTCATCACAAAGATGTTTCTCAGAATGCTTCTGTGAAGTTTTTATGTGAAGATATTTCCTTTTCCACCATAGGCCACAAAGGGCTCAAAATATCCACTTGCAGATTTTACAGAAAGAGAGATTCAAAACTGCTCAATCAGAAGGTATGTTGAAATCTGTGAGACGAATGCACTCATCACAAAGAAGTTTCTCAGTATGCTTCTGTGTAGTTTTTATGTGAAGATATATCCTTTTCCACAAAAAGCCTCAAAACGCTCCAAATACCCACTTGCAGATTCTACAAAGAGAGTGTTTCAAAACAGCTAAATCATAAGATAGGTTCAATTCTGTGAGATGAATGCACACATCCCAAAGAAGTTTCTCAGAATGCTTCTGTGTAGTTTTTATGTTAAGATATTTCCTTTTCCACAATAGGCTTGAAAGTGCTCCAATTATCCACTTTCAGATTCTACAAAAAGAATGTTTCAGAACTGATCAATCATAAGATAGGTTCAACTCTGCGAGATGAATGCACACATCACAAAGATATTTATCAGAAGGATTCTGTGTAGTTTTTATCCGAAGATACTTGCTTTTCCACAGATGGCCTCAAAGCACTCCAAATATCCACTTGCAGATTCAATAAAAACAGTGTTTCAAAACTGCTGAATCAAAAGAAAGGTTCAACTCTGTGAGATGAATGCACGCATCACAAAGAAGTTTCTCAGAATGCTTCTGTGTAGTTTTTAATTGAAGGTATTTCCTTTTCCTCCATGGGCTGCAAAGGGCTCCAAATATCCACTTGCAGCTTCTACAAAAAGAGAGATTCAAAACTGCTCAATCAAAAGATAAGTTCACCTCTGTGAGTCTAATGCACACATCACAAAGTAGTTTCTCAGAATGCTTCTGTGTAGTTTTTATGTGTAGATATTTCGTTTTCCACAATAGACCTCAAAGCTTTCCAAATATCCACTTGCAGATTCTACAAAAAGAGGGTTGCAAAACTGCTCATTCAACGGAAATTTCAACTCTTTTAGATGAATGCACACATCACAAAGAAATTACTCAGAATGCTTCTGTGTAGTTTTTATGTGAAGATATTTGCTTTTCCATAGTAGGCCTCAAAGTGCTCCAATATCCACTTGTAGGTTTTACGAAAACAGTGTTTCAAAACTGTCCAATCAAAGGAAAGTATCAACTCTGTGAGATGAATGCACACATCATGAAGAAGTTTCTCAGAATACTTCCATATAATTTTAATGTGAAGACATTTGCCTTTCCACCGGAGGCCTCAAAGCACTCCAAATATCCACTTGCAGATTCTACAAAGCGAATGTTTCAAATCTGCTCAATCATAAGATAGGTTCAACTCTGTGATATGAAGGCACACATCACGAAGAAGTTTCTCAGTATGCGTCTCTGTAGTGTTTACTAGAAGATATTTCCTTATCGTCCATAGGCCACAAAGTGCTCCAAATATCCACTTGCAGATTCTAGAAAAACAGAGATTCAAAGCTGCTCAATCAAAAGATAGGTTCAAGTCTGCGAGTTGAATGCACACATCACAAAGAAGTTTCTCAGAATGCTTCTGTGTAGTTTTTATGTGAAGATATTTCATTTTCCACAATAGGCCTCAAAGCACTCCAAATATCCACTTGCAGATTCTACAAAAAGAGTTTTCAAAACTTCTCAATCAAAACGAAAGTTCAACTCTGTGAGATGAATGCACACTTCACACAGAAGTTTCTCAAAATGCTTCTGCGTAGTTTCTATTTGGAGATATTTCCTTTTCCAATGTAGGCCACAAAGGGCTCCAAATATCCACTTGCAGATTCTACAAAAAAAGTGTTTCAAAAGTGCACAATCAAAAGAAAGGTGCAACTCTGTGAGATGAATGCACACATCACAAAGAAGTTTCACAGAATTCTTCTGTGTAGTTTTTATGTGAAGATATTTCCTTTTCCAAAACAGGCCTGAAAGCCCTCCAATTATCAACTTTCAGATTCTACAAAGAGAGTGTTTCAAAACTGCTCAATCATAAGATAGGTTCAAATCTATGAGATGAATGCACACATCACAGAGAAGTTTCTTAGAATTCTTCTGTGTAGTATTTATTTGAAGATATTTCCTTTTCCTCTGTAGGCCGCAAAGAGCTTCAAATATCCACTTGCAGATTATACAAAAAGAGAAATTCAAAACTGCTCAATCAAAAGATAGGTTCAACTCAGTGATTTGAATGCACACATCACAAACGAGTTTCTTTGAATGCTTCTGTGTAGTTTTTATGTAAAGATATGTCCTTTTCCATAATAGGTCTAAAAGGGCTCCAAATATCCAGTTGCAGACTCTACAAAAAGAGAGATTCAAAACTGCTCAATCAAAACAAACTTTCAACTCTGTGGGATGAATGCACACATCACAAAGAAGTTTCTCAGAATGCGTCTATGTAGTTTTTACATGAAGATATTTGCTTTTCCACAGTTGACCTCAAAGCGGCCTATACAGATTCTATACAAACAGTGTTTCAAAACTGCTCAATCAAAAGGAAGGTTCAACTCTGCTCAATGAATACCCACATCACAAAGTAGTTTCTCAGAATGCTTCTAGTAGTTTTTATGTGAAGATATTTCCTTTTACACAATAAGTCACAACGCGCTCAAAATATCCACCTGAAGTTTCTGCAAAGAGAGTGTTTCAAAACTGCTCAATAATAAGATAGATTCATCTGTGTGAGATGAATGCACACATCACAAATAAGTTTCTCAGAATGCTTCTGTGTAGTTTTTATTTGAAGATATTTCCTTTACCTCCATAGGCCACAAAGGGCTCCAAATATCCACTTCCAGATTCTACAAGAAGAGAGATTAAAAACTTCACAATCAAAAGATAGGTTCAACTCTGTGAGTTGAATGCACACATCACAAAGTAGTTTCTCAGGAAGCTTCTGTGTATTTTTTTTGTTAAGATATTTCCTTTTCAACAATAGGACTCAAAACACTGCAAATATCTACTTTCATATTATACAAAAAGAGTGTTTCAAAACTGCTCAATCAAAATAAAGTTTCAACTCTGTGAGATGAATGCAGACATCACAAAGAAGTATCTCAGAATGCTTCTGTGTAGTTTTTATGTAAAGATATTTGCTTTTCCACAGTAGGACTCAAAGCGCTCCAAATTTCCATTGCAGATACTACAAAAACAGGGTTTCAAAAGTGCTCAATCAAAAGAAAGTTTCAACTCTCTGAGATGAATGCACACATCACAAAGAAGTTTCTGTGAATGCTTCTGTGTAATTTCTATGTGAAGACATTTCTTTGCCACAATAGGCCTCCAAGCTCTCCAAGTATACACTTGCAGATTTTACAAAGAGAGTTTTTCAAAACTGCTCAATCATAAGATAGGTTCAACTCTGTGAGATGAATGCATACAGCACAACGAAGTTTCTCAGAATGATTCTGTATAGTTTTTATGTGAAGATATTTGATTTTCCACAGTAGGCCTCAAAGCGCTCCAAATATCCCCTTGCAGATTCTACAAAAACAGTGTTTTAGAACTGCTGAAATATACGTTAGGTTCAACTCTGTGAGATGAATGCACGCATCACAAAGAAGTTTCTCAGAATGCTTCTGTGTAGTTTTCATGTGAAGATATTTCCTTTTCCTCCATAGGATGCAAAGGGCTCCAAATATCCAATTGCTGATTCTACAAAAAGAGAGATTCAAAACTGCTCAATCAAAAGATTAGTTCAACAATGTGAGTTGAATGCACACATCACAAAGATGTTTCTCAGAATCCTTCTGTGTAGTTTTTATGTGAAGATGTTTCCTTTTCCACTATAGGCCTCAAAGCGCTCAAGTATCCAAGTGTAGATTCTACAAAAAGAGTGTTTCAAAACTGTTCAATCAAAAGAAAGGTTCAATTCTGTGAGATGAATGCATACATCACAAAGAATTTTCTCAGAATGATTCTGCGTAGTTTATATTTGAAGATATTTCCTTTTCCAACGTAGGTCTTAAAGAGCTCCAAATATCCACTTGAAGATTCTACAAAAGAGAGATTCAAAACTGCTCAATAAAAAGATATGTTCAACTCTATGAGTTGAATGCACTCATCACAAAGAAGTTTATCAGAATACTTCTGAGTAGTTGTTATGTGAAGATATTTCCTTTTCTACCATATGCCGCAAAGGGCTCCAAATATCCACTTGCACATTCTACAAAAAGTGAGATTCAAAACTGCTCAATCAGAAGACGGGTTCAACTCTGTGTGTTGAATGCACACATCGCAAAGAAGTTTCTCAGAATGCTTCTGTGTAGTTTTTATTGGAAGATATTTCCTTTACCATAATAGGTCTCAAAGCGCTCCAAATATCTACTTGCAATTTCTAAAAAAAGAGTGTTTAAAAACTGCTCAATCAAAAGAAAGGTTCAACTCTCTGAGATGAATGTACACGTCACACAGAAGTTTCTGAGAATGCTTCTGTGTAGTTTTTATTGGAAGATATTTCCTTTTCCTCCATATGTCAGAAAGGGCTCCAAATGTCCACTTGCAGATTCTACAAAAAGACAGATTCAAAACTGCTCAATGAAAAGAGAGGTTCAACACTCTGAGTTGAATACACACATCAATAATAAGTTTCTCAGAATGCTTCTGTATAGTATTTATGTGAAGATATTTCCTTTTCCACAATAAGCCTCAAAGCACTCCAAATATCCACTTGCAGATACTAGAAAGAGAGTGTTTCAAAACTGCTCAATCATAAGATAGGTTCAACCCTGTGAGATGAATGCACACATCACAAAGAAGTTTTTCAGAATGCTTCTGTGTAGTTTTTATGTGAAGATACTTGCTTTTCCGCAGTGAGCCTCAAAACCCTGCAAATACTGACTTGCAGATTCTACAAGAACAGTGTTTGAAAACTGCTGAATCAAAAGAAAGTTGGAATTTCGTGTGATGAATGCATACATCACAAAGAAGTTTCTCAGAATGCTTCTGTGTAGTTTTTATGTGAAGCTATTTCTTTGCCATAGTAGGCCTCAAAGCACTCCAAGTATCCACTTGCAGATTCTACAAAGAGAGTGTTTCAAAACTGCTTAATCATAAGATAGGTTCAACTCTGTGAGACGAAAACAAACATCACAAAGAAGTTTCTCAGAATACCTCTGTGTAGTTCTTATTTGAAGGTATTTCCTTTTCCTTCGTAGGTGGCATAGGGCTCCAATTATCCACTTGCAGATTCTACAAAAAAAGAGATGCAAAACTGCTTAATCAAAAGATAGGTTCAACTCTGTGAGTTGAATGCAAACATCACAAAGATGTGTCTCAGAATGCTTCTCTGTAGTTTTTATGTGAACATATTTCCTTTTCCACAATAGGCCTCAAAGTGCTCCAAATATCCACTTGCAGATACTACAAAAAGAGTGTTTCAAAACTGCTCAATGAAAAGAAAGGTTCAACTCTGTGAGATGAATGCACACATCACAAAGAAATTTCTCAATATGCTTCTGTGCAGTTTTTATGTGAACATATATGCTTTTCCACCGTAGGCCTCCAAGGGCTCCATATATCCACTTGCAGATTCTACAAAAACAGTGTTTCAAAACTGCTCAATCAAAATAAATGTTGAACACTGTGAGATTAATCCACACATCACAAAGAAGTTTCTCAGAATGTTTCTGTGTAGTTTTTATGTGAAGATATTTCCTTTCCCACAGTAGGCCTCAAAGCACTCCAAATATCCACTTGCAGATTCTAGAAAGAGAGTGTTTCAACACTGCTCAGTCATAAGATAGGTTCAACCCTGTGAGCTGAATGCACGCATCACAAAGAAGTGTCTCAGAATTCTTCTGACTAGTTTTTATATGAAGATATTTCCTTTTCCACCATAGGCCTTAAAGCGCTACAAATGTACACTTGCATATCCTACAAAAAGTGTATTTCCTAACTGGTCCATCAAAAGAATGGTTCAAATCTGGGAGATGAATGCACACATAACAAAGAAGTCTTTCAGATTGCTTCTGTCTAGATTTTATGTGATGATATTTCCTTTTCTACCATAGGCCACAAAGCATTCCAAATGTCCACTTGCAGATACTACAAAAAGAGTGTTTCCAAACTGCTTCATCAAAAGAAATGTTCAACTCTGTGAGATGAACACAATCATCACAAAGAAGTTTGTCAGAATTCTTCTGTCTAGTTTTTATATGAAGATACTTCCTTTTCCACCTTAGGCCTAAAGGTGCTCACAATGTCCACTTGCAGATTCTACAAAAAGAGTATTTCAAAACTGTTCCACCAAAAGAAAGATTCAACTCTGAGAGATGAATGCACACATCACAAAGAAGTTTCTCAGAATGTTTCTGCGTAGTTTTTATGTGAAGATATTTCCTTTTGCACTACAGGCCTCAAAGCACTCTAAATGTCCACTTGCAGATTCTACAAAAGAGAGTTTCAAAACTACTCAATGAAAATAAAGGTTTAACTCTTTGAGATGAATGCACACATCACAAAGAATTTTCTGAGATTGCTTTTGTCTAGATTTTAAGTGAAGATACTTCCTTTTCTACAATAGGCCACAAAGCGATCCAAATGTCCATTTGTAGATTCTACAAAAAGAGTGTTTCCAAACTGCTGATTCAAATGAAAGGTTCATCTTTGTGAGAAAGGCATAACACATCAAAAAAAGTTTCTTAGAATTATTCTGTCTAGTTTTTATGTGAAGATATGTCCTTTTCCACCAAAGGCCTCAAAAAGCTCCAAATGTCCACTTGCAGATTCTACAAAAAGAGAGTTTCAAAACTGCACAATCAAAAGAAAGTGTTAACTCTGAGATGAACGCACACATCACAAAGAAGTTTCTCAGATTGCTTCTGTCTGGATTTTATGTGAAGGTATTTCCTTTTCTACAATAGGCTGCAAAGCGCTCCAAATATCCACTTGCAGATTCTACAAAAAGAGTGTTTCCAAACTGCTCAATCAAAAGAAAATTTCAATTCTGTGAGATGAACACACACAACACAAAGAAGTTTCTCAGAATTCCTCTGTCTAGTTTTTATGTGAAGATATTTCCTTTTCCACCATAGGAGTCAAAACTCTGCAAATGTCCACATGCAGATTCTACAAAAAGAATGTTTCCAACCTGCTCAATCGAAAGAAAGTTCAACTCTGTGAGATGAACGCACACATCACAGAGTAATTTGTCAGAATTCTTCTGTGTAGTTTCTATTTGAAGATATTACCTTTTCCACCATAGGCCTCAAAGTGCTCCAAATATCCACTTTCAGATTCTGCAAAAAGAGAGTTTCAGAACTGCTCTATCAAAAGAAAAGTTCAACTCTGTGAGATGGATGCACACATCCCAAAGAAATTTCTCAGATTGCTTTTGTCTAGATTTCATGTGAAGATATTTCCTTTTATACCATAGGCCAGAAAGCACTCCAAATGTCCATTTGCAGATTCTACAAAAAGACAGTTTCCAAAGTGTTCAATCAAAAGAAAAGTTCAACTCTGTAAGATGAACGCACACATCACAAAGAAGTTTCTCAGATCGCTTCTGTATAGATTTTATGTGAAGATATTTCCTTTTTTACCATAGGCCACAAGGTGCTACAAATGTCCACTTGCAGATACTACAAAAAGAGCGTTTAAAAATTGCTCAATCAAAAGAAAGGTTCAACTCTGTGAGAATAACGCACACATCACAAAGAAGTTTCTCATAATTCTTCTGTCTAGTTTTTATGTGAAGATATTTCCTTTTCCACAATAGGCGTTAAAGAGCTCCAAATGTCCACTTGCAGATTCTACAAAAAGAGACTTTAAAAACTGCTCAACCAAAACAAAGGTTAAACTCTGTGAATGAATGCACACAACACAAAGAAGTTTCTCAGATTGCTTCTGTCTAGATTTTATGTGAAGATATTTTCTTTTCTACCATAAGTTGCAAATCTCTCCAAATTTCTACTTGTAGATTCTACAAAAAGAGTGTGTCCAAACTGCTCAATAAAAAGGAAGGTTCAACTCTGTGAGATGAATGCACACATCACAAAGAAGTTTCTCAGAATTCTTCTGTCTAGTTTTTATGTGAGGATATTTCCTTTTCCAGCATCAGCCACAAAGCGCTCCAAATGTCCACTTGCAGATTCTACAAAAAGAGAGTTTCAATACTGCTCAATCAACAGAAAGTTTTAACTCTGTAAGATGAACGCACACATCACGAAGAAGTTTCTCAGATTGCTTTTGTCTAGATTTTATGTGAAGATATTACCTTTTCTACCATAGACCGCAAAGTGCTCCAAATGTCCATTTGCAGATTCTACAAAAACATTGATTCCAAACTGCTCTATCAAAAGAACGGTTCAAATCTGTGAGATGAACGCACACATCAACAAGCAGTTTCTCAGAATTCTTCTCTCTAGTTTTTATGTGAAGATATTTCCTTTTCCACCATAGGCCTCAAAGCGCTCCAAATGTCCACTTGCAGATTCTACAAAAAGAGAGTTTCAAAACTATTCTATCAAAAGAAGGGTTTCAGCCTGTGAGATGAATGCACACATCACAAAGCAGTTTCTCAGATTGCTTCTGTCTAGATTTTATGTGAAGATATTTCCTTTTCTACCATAGGCCACAAAGCTTTCCAAATATCCACTTGCAGATTCTACAAAAAGAGTGTTTCCAAACTGTTCAATCAAAAGAAAGTTTCAACTCTTTGAGATGAACGCACACATCACAAAGAAGTTTCTCGGAATTCTTCTGCCTAGTTTCTATGTGAAGACATTTCCTTTACCACCATATTCCTCAAAGAGCTCCAAATGTCCACTTGTAGATTTTAAAAAAAGAGTTTCATAAATGCTCAATCAAAAGAAAGTTTTAACTCTGTGAGATGAATGCTGACATCACAAAGAAGTTTCTCAGATTGCTTCTGTCTAGATTTTATGTTAAGATATTTCCTTTTCTACTGAAGACTGCAAAGCGCACCTAATGCCCACTTGCAGATTCTGCAAAAAGAGTGTTTCCAAACTGCTCAATGAAAAGAAAGGTTCAGCTCTGTGAGAAGAACGTACACATCACAATGTAGATTCTCAGAATTCTTTTGTCTAGTTTTTATATGAACATATCTCGGTTTCTACCATAGGCTTCAAAGTGTTCCAAATGTCCACTTGCAGAATCTACAAAAAGAGAGATTCAAAACTGCTTAAGCAAACATACGATTAATTTTGTGAGATGCATGCACACATCACAAAGAAGTTTCTCAGATTGCTTATGTCTACATTTAAGGTGAAGATATTTTCTTTTCTACCAGAGGAAGCAAAGCGCTTCAAATGTCCACTTGCAGATTCTACAAAAAGAGTGTTTCAAAACTGCTCAATGAAAAGAAAGGTTCAATCCTGTGAGATGAATGCACACATCACAAAGAAGTTTCTCAGAATTCTTCTGTCTGGCTTTTATGTGAAGATATTTCCTTTTCCACCATAGGCCTCAAAACGCTCCAAATGTCCACTTGAAGATTCTACAAAAAGAGATTTCAAAACTGCTCAAACAAAACTTTAACTCTGTGAGATGAATGCACACATCACAAAGTAGTTTCTCAGATTGTTTCTGTCTAGATTTTATGTGAAGATATTTCCTTTTCTACCATAGTCTGCAAAGCACTCCAAATATCCACTTCCAGATTCTACAAAAAGAGTGTTTCCAAACTGCTGAGTCAAAATAAAGGTTCAACTCTGTGGGATGTAAGCACAAATCACGAAGAAGTTTCTCAGAATTATTCTGCCTCGTTTTTGTGTGAAGATATTTCCTTTTCCACCATAGGCCTCAAAGTGCTCCAAATGTCCACTTGCAGATTGTACAAAAAGAGAGTTTCAAAACTGCTCAATCAAAAGACAGCTTTAACTCTGTGAGATGAATGCACACATCACAAAGAAGTTTCTCAGATTGCTTCTGCCTAGATTTTATGTGAAGATATTTCCTTTTCTACTATAGGCCATAAAGCATTCCGAAAGTCCACTTGCGGATTCTACAAAAAGAGTGTTTCCAAACTACTCAATCAAAAGAACGTTTCAACTCTGTGAGATGAAGGCACACATCACAAAGAAGTTTCTCGGAATTCTTCTGTCTAATTTTTATGTGAAGACATTTCATTCTCCACCATAGGCCTCATGGCTGTCGAAATGTCCACTTGCAGATTCTACAAAAAGAGTATTTCAAAACTGGTCCATCAAAAGAAAGTTTCAACTCTGTGAGATGAATGCACCCATCACGAAGAAGTTTCTCAGAATGTTTCCATCTAGGTTTATGTGAAGATATTTCCTTTTCCACCACAGGTCTCAAAGCGCTCCAAATGTCCACATGAAGATTCTACAAAAAGAGAGTTTCAAAACTGCTCAGTCAAACAAAGGGTTAACTCTGTGAGATGAATGCACACATCACAAAGAAGTTTCTCAGATTGCTTCTGTCTAGATTTTATGTGAAGGTATTTCCTTTTCTACCATAGGCCACCAAGTGCTCCAAATGCTCACCTGCAGATTCTACAAAAACAGTGTTTCCAAACTGCTCAATCCAAAGAAAGTTTCAACTCTGTGAGATGAACATACACATCACAAAGAAGTTTCTCAGAATGCTTCTGTATAGTTTTTTATGTGAAGATATTTCCTTTTCTACCATAGGCCACAAAGCGCTCCAAATGTCCACTTGCAGATTCTACAAAAAGAGTGTTTCCAAACTGCTCAATGAAAAGAAAGGTTCAATCCTGTGAGATTAACGCACACATCACAAAGAAGTTTCTTGGAATTCTACTGTCTAGTTTTTCTGTTAAGATATTTCCTTTTCCACCATAGGCCTCAAATCGCTCCAAATGTCCACTTGCAGATTCTAGAAAAATAGACTTTCAAAACTTCTCAATGAAAAGAAAAGTTTATCTCTGTGGGATGAATGCACACATCACAAAGTAGTTTTTCAGATTGCCTCTGTCTAGATTTTGTGTGAAGATATTTGCTTTTCCACCATAGACCTCAAAGCGTTCCAAATGTCCTCTTGCAGGTGGTACAAAAATAGAGTTTCAAAACTGCTTCATCAAAACAACGGTTTAATTCTGTCAGATGAATGTACACATCACAAAGAAGTTTCTCAGATTGCTTCTGTCTAGATTTTATGTGAAGATATTTCATTTTCTGTCATAGGCCGTAAAGCGCTCCAAATGTCCAGTTGCAGATTCTACAAAAAGAGTCTTTCCAAACTGCTGACTCAAAAGAAAGTTTCAACTCTGTGAGATGAACGCATACATCACAAAGAAGTTTCTCAGAATTATTCTGTCTAGTTTTTATGGGAAGATATTTCCATTTCAACCATTGGCCTCAATGCGCTCCAAATGTCCACTTGCAGATTCTACAAAAAGAGAGTTTGAAAACTGCTAAATCAAAAGAAATATTGAAGTCTGTGAGATGACTGTGCATATCACAAAGAAATTTCTCAGATTACTTCTGTCTAGATTTTATGTGAATATATTCCCTTTTTTACCAAAGGCCGCAAAGCGCTCGAAATGACAATTTGCAGATTCTACAAAAAGTGTGTTTGCAAACTGCTAAATCAAAAGGAATGTTCAACTCTGTGAGATGAACACACACATCACAAAGTTGTTTCTCAGAATATTTCTGCCTAGTTTATTTTTATTTATTTTTATTTTTTATTATTATACTTTAAGTTTTAGGGTACATGTGCACATCGTTCAGGTTAGTTACATATATATACATGTGCCATGCTGGTGCGCTGCACCCACTAACTCGTCATCTAGTATTAGGTGTATCTCCCAATGCTATCCCTCCCCCCTCCCCCCACCCCACAACAGTCCCCAGAGTGTGATGTTCCCCTTCCTGTGTCCATGTGTTCTCATTGTTCAATTCCCACTTATGAGTGAGAATATGCGGTGTTTGGTTTTTTGTTCTTGTGATAGTTTACTGAGAATGATGATTTTCAATTTCATCCATGTCCCTACAAAGGACATGAACTCATCATTTTTTATGGCTGCATAGTATTCCATGGTGTATACGTGCCACATTTTCTTAATCCAGTCTATCATTGTTGGACATTTGGCTTGGTTCCAAGTCTTTGCTATTGTGAATAATGCCGCAATAAACATACGTGTGCATGTGTCTTTATAGCAGCATGATTTGTAGTCCTTTGGGCATATACCCAGTAAGGGGATGGCTGGGTCAAATGGTATTTCCAGTTCTAGATCCCTGAGGAATTGCCACACTGACTTCCACAATGGTTGAACTAGTTTACAGTCCCACCAACAGTGTAAAAGTGTTCCTATTTCTCCACATCCTCTCCAGCACCTGTTGTTTCCTGATTTTTTAATGATTGCCATTGTAACTGGTGTGGGATGATATCTCATTGTGGTTTTGATTTGCATTTCTCTGATGGCCAGTGATGATGAGCATTTTTTCATGTGTCTTTTGGCGCATAAATGTCTTCTTTTGAGAAGTGTCTGTTCATGTCCTTCGCCCACTTTTTGATGGGGTTGTTTGTTGTTTTCTTGTAAATTTGTTATTTGAATATATTTCCTTTTCCACCATAGACCTCAAAGCGTTACAAATGTCCACTTGCAGATCGTACAAAGATAGTTTCAAAACTACTTCATCAAAAGAAAGGTTTAACTCTGTCAGATGAATTCTCACATCAGAAAGAATTTTCTCAGATTGCTTCTGTCTAGATTTTATGTGAAGATATTTCCTTTTCTGCCACAGGCCACAAAGTGCTCCAAATGTCCACTTGCAGATTCAACAAAAAGAGTGTTTCCAAATGACCCAAACAAAAGAAAGTTTCAACTCTGTGAGAGGAATGCACACATCACAAAGTAGTTTCTCAGAATTTGTCTTTCTAGTTTTTATGAGAAGATAATTCCTTTTTCACCATAGGTCTCAAAGCCTTCCAAATGTACAAATGCAGATTCGACAAAAAGAGAGTTTGAAAACTGCTCAATCAAAAGAAAGGGTTAACTCTGTGAGATGAATACACAAATCACAAAGAAGTTTCACAGATTGCTTCTGTCTAGATTTTATGTGAAGATATTTCCTTTTCTACCATAGACTGTAAAGTGCTCCAAATGTTCACCTGCAGATTCTACAAAAAGAGTGTTTCCAAAATGCTCAATCCAAAGAAAGGTTCAACTCTGTGAGATGAACATACACATCACACAGAAGTTTCCCAGAATGCTTCTATATAGTTTTTATGTGAAGATATTTCCTTTTCTACCATAGGCCACTCCGTGAGATGAATGCACACATCACAAAGAAGTGTGTCAGAATGCTTCTGTCTAGTTATTACGTAAAGATACTTCCTTTTCCACCAGACACCAAAAAGCGCTCCAAATGTCCACTTGCAGATTCTACAAAAAGAGTGTTTCAAAGCTGCTCAATCAAAAGAAAGTTCAACTCTGTGAGATGAATGCACACATCAAAAAGAAGTTTGTCAGAATGCTTCTGTCTGGTTTTTATGTGAAGATATTACCCTTTCCACCATGGGCCTCAAGGCGCTCCAAATGTCCACATCCAGATTCTACAAAAAGAGCTTTTGAAAGCTGGTCAATCAAAAGAAAGTTTCAACTCTGTGAGATGAATGCACACATCACAAAGAAGTTTGTCACAATGCTTCTGTCTAGTTTTTATGTGAAGATTTTTCCTTTTCCACCATTGGTCTCACAGCACTCCAAATGTCCACTTGCAGATTCTACAATAACAGTGTTTCAAAGCTGCTCAATGAAAAGTAAGGTTCAACTTTGTGAGATGAATGCACACATGATGAAGACATTTGTCAAGATGTTTCTGTCTAGTTCTCATGTGAAGATATTTCCTTTTCCACCATAGGCTTCAAATCACTCCAAACGTCCACTTGCAAATAGTACAAAAAGCGTCTTTCAAAACTCCTCAATCAAAAGTAAGATTCAATTCTGTGAGATGAATGCACACATCACAAAGAAGTTTGGTAGAATGCTTCTGTCTAGTTTTTATGTGAAGATATTTCCTTTTCCACCATAGGCCTCAAAGTGTTCCAAATGACCACTTGCAGATCCTACAAAAAGAGTGTTTCAAAGCTGCTCAATCTAAAGAAAGGTTCAACTCTGTGGGATGAATGCACACATCACAAAGAAATTTCTCACCATGCTTGTGTCTAGTTATTAAAGGAAGATATTTCGTTATCCACCATAGGAATCAAGTTGCTCCAAATGTCTACTTGCAGATTCTACAAAAAGAGTGTTTCAAAACTGCTCAATGAAAAGTAAGTTTCAACCCTGTGACATGAATGCACACATCAGAAATAAGCTTGTCGGAATGCTTCTGAGTAGTTTTTATGTGAAGATATTTCCTTTTCCACCATATGCCTCAAAGCGCCCCAAATGACCACATGAAGATTCTGCAAAAAGGGTTTCAAAACTGCTCAACGTAAAGTAAGGTTCAACTCTGTGAGATGAATGCACAAATCACAAAGAAGTTTGTCAGAATTCTTCTGTCTAGTTTTTACGTTATTTCCTTTTCCACCATAGGCCTCAACGTGCGCAAAATGTCCACTCAGATTCTACAAAAATGGTGTTTCAAAGTTGCTCAATCAAAAGAAATGTTCAACTCTGTGAGATGAATGTACCCGTCACAAAGGAGTTTGACAGAATGCTTCTGCATAGTTTTTATGTGAAGGTATTCCTTTTCCACCATTGGCCTCAAAGCACTCCACATGTCCGCTTGCAGTTTCTACAAAAAGAGTGTTTCAAAACTGCTCAATCAAAAGAAAGGTCCAATTCTGTGAGATGAATGCACACATCACAAAATTTTTTCAGAATGCTTCTGTCTAGTTTTTATGTGAAGATATTTCATTTTCCACCATAGGCCTCAAAGCGCTCCAAATGTCTACGTGCAGATCCTACAAAAAGAGTGTTTCAAATTGGTCATTCAAAACTAATTTTCAACTCCATAAGATGAATGCACCCATTATGACGAAGTTTGTCAGAATCTTTCTCTATAGTTTTTATGTGAAGATATTTCCTTTTCCGCCATAGGTCTCAAAGCACTCCAAAAGTTTACTTGCAGATTCTACAAAAACAGTGTTTTTAAGCTGCTCAAACAAAAGAAAAGTTCAACTCCGTGAGATGAATGCACACATCACAAAGAAGTTTTTCATTATGCTTATGTCTAGTTTTTATGTGAAGATATTTCCTTTTCCATCATAGTCCTCAAAGTGCTCCAAATGTCCAGTTGCAGATTTTACAAAAAGAGTGTTTCAAAACTGCTCAATCAAAAGAAAATTTCAACTCTGTGACATGAATGCACACATCACAAAGAAATCTCTCAGAATGCTTCTGTCTAATTTTTAATTGAAGATATTTATTTTTCCACCATAGGCCTCAAAGCACTCAAATGTCCACTTGCTGATTCTACAAAAAGAGGGTTTCCAAACTACTCAATCAAAAGAAAGGTTCAACTCTGTGAGATAAATGCACACATCACAAAGTAATTTGTCAGAATGCTTCTGTCTAGTTTTTATGTGAAGATATTTCCTTCTCCACCATAGGCCTCAAAGCACTCCAAATATCCACTTCCAGATAGTACAAAAAGGGTGTTTCAAAACTGCTCAATCAAAAGCAATGTTCAACTCTCTGAGATGAATGCACACATCACAAAGAAGTACCTCAGAAAGCTTCTGTCTAGTTTTAATGTGAAGATATTTCCTTTTCCAACATAGGCCTCTTAGGGGCCAAATGTCCACGTGGAAATTCTACAAAGAGTGTTTCAAAACTGCTCAATCAAAAGAAAGATTCAACTCTGTGAGATGAATGATCACATCACAAAGAATTTTCTAAGAATGATCCTGTCTAGATTTTTTGTGAAGTTTTTACCTTTTCGACAATAGGCCTCAAAGCGCTCCAAGTGTACACTTGCAGATTCTACAAAAAGAGTTTTTCAAAACTGTTCAATGCAAAGGAAGTTTCAACTCCATGAGATGAATGCACACATCACAAAGGAGTTTGTCAGAATGTTTCAGAATAGTTTTTATGTGAAGATATTTCCTTTTGCACCATCGGTTGCAAAGCCCTCCAAATGTCCATTTGCAGATTCTACAGAGAGTGTTTCAAAACTGGTCAATCAAGGCCGGGCACGGTGGCTCACGCCTGTAATCCCAGCACTTTGGGAGGCCGAGGCGGGTGGATCATGAGGTCAGGAGATCGAGACCATCCTGGCTAAAACGGTGAAACCCCGTCTCTACTAAAAATACAAAAAATTAGCCGGGCGCGGTGGCGGGTGCCTGTAGTCCCAGCTACTCGGGAGGCTGAGGCAGGAGAATGGCGTGAACCTGGGAAGCGGAGCTTGCGGTGAGCCGAGATTGCGCCACTGCAGTCCGCAGTCTGACCTGGGCGACAGAGCGAGACTCCGTCTCAAAAAAAAAAAAAAAAAAAAAAAAAACTGGTCAATCAAAAGAATGGTTCAACTCTGAGATGAATGCACACATCACAAAGAAGTTTGTCAGAATGTTTCTGTCTAGTTCCTAAGTGAAGATACTTCCTTTTCGACCATAGGCCTCATAGCGCTCCAAATATCCACTTGCAGATTCTACAGAGAGTTACCAAATTACTCAATCAAAAGAAATGTTCAACTCTGTGAAATGAGTGCACACATCTCAAAGAAATTTGTTAGAATGCTTCTGTCTAGTTTTTATGTGAAGATATTTCCTTATCCACCATAGGCCTCAAAGCACTCCAAAAGTCCACTTGCAGATAGCACAAAAATTGTGTTTCAGAACTGGACAGAAACACTCTGACAAACTTCTTTGTGATGTGTGCCTTCATCTCACGGAGTTGAACATTTCTGTTGATTGAGCAGTTTTAAAACACTATTTTTGTAGATTCTATAAGTGTACAATTGGAGCGCTTTGAGGACTATGGTGGAAAAGGAAATATCTTCACATAAAAATTAGACAGAAGCATTCTGACAAACTGCCTTGTGATGTGTGCATTCATCTCACAGAGTTGAACATTTCTTTTGATTGAACAGCTTTGAAACACTCTTTTTGTACAATCTGCAAGTGGACATTTGGAGCACTTTGAGACCCATGGTGGAGAAGGAAATATCTTCACATAAAAACGAGAAAAAAGAATTCTGAGAAACTCCTTTGTGTTGAGTGTGTTAATCTCACACAGTTGAGCCTTTCTTTTTATTGAGCAGTTTGGAAACACTCTTTTGGTAGAACCTGCAAGTGGACATTTGGAACAATTTCAGGCATATGGTGAAAAAGGAAATATATTCACATAAAAACTAGACAGAAGCGTTCTGACAAACTTCTATGTGATATGTGTATTCATCTCACCGTGGTGAAACTTTGTTTTGATTGAGCAGCTTTGAAACACTCTTTTTGTAGTATATGCAAGTGGACATTTGGAGCGCTTTGAGGCCTATAGTGGATAACCAAATATATTCATATAATAACTAGACAGAAGCATTTTGAGAAACTTCTTTGTGATGTGTGAATTCATCTCACACTGATTTGAACCTTTCTTTTGATTGATCATCTTTGAAACACTCTTTTTGTAGAATCAGCAAGTGGATATTTGGAGCGCTTTGAGGCCTATGGTGGAAAAGGAAATATCTACACATAAAAACCAGACAGAAGCATTCTGACAAACTTCTTTGTGATGTGTGCATTCATCTCACAGAATTGAACCTTACTTTTCATTGAGCAGTTTTGAAACACTCTTTCTGTAGAATCTGCTAGTGAGCAATTGGAGGACTTTGAGTCCTATTGAGGAAAAGGAAATGTCTTCATATAAAAACTAGAAAGAAGCCTGCTGAGAAACTTCTTTGTGATGTGCGCATTCATCTCACAGGGTTAAACCTTGCTTTTCATTGAGAAGCTTTGAAACACTCTTTTTGTAGAATCTACAAGTGGACATTTGGAGCACTATGAGGCCTATGGTGGAAAAGGAAATATCTTCACATAAAAACTAGACAGACTATTCTCACAAACTTCTTTGTGTTGTGTGCATTCATCTCACAGAGTTGAACCTTACTTTTCATTGAGAAGTTTTGAAACACTCTTTTTGTAGTATCTGCAAGTGGACATTTGGAGCGCTTTGAGGCCTATGGTGGAAAAGTAAATATCTTCAGGTAAAAAGTAGACAGATGCATTCTGAGAAACTACTTTGTGATGTGTGCATTCATCTCACAGAGTTGAACCTTTCTTTTGATTGAACAACTTTGAAACACTCTTTTTGTAGAATCTGCAAGTGGACATTTGGAGAGCTTTGAGGCCTATGGTGGAAAAGGAAAAATCTTCACATAAAAACTAGACAGAAGCATTCTGACAAACTTCTTTGTGATGTGTGCACTCATCTCACAGAGTTGAACCTTATTTTTCATTGAGCAGTTTTGAAATACTCTCTTTGTAGAATCTGCAAGTGGACATTTCGTGCGCTTTGAGGCCTATGGTGGAAAAGGAATTATCTTCACATAAAAACTAGACAGAAGCATTCTGACAACCTTCTTTGTGATATGTGCATTCATCTCACAGAGTTGAACCTTACTTTCGATTGAGCAGTTTTGAAACACTCTCTTTGTAGAATCTGCAAGTGGACATTTGCTGCACTTTGAGGCCTATGGTGGATAACAAAATATCTTCATATAATAACTAGATGGAAGCATTATGAAAAACTCCTTTATGATGTGTGCTTGCATCTTACAGAGTGGAACCTTTCTTTTGATTGAGCAGCTCTGAAACACTCTTTTTGTAGCATCTGCAATTGGACATTTGGAGTGCGTTGAGGCCTTTGGTGGAAAAGGAAATATCTGCACATAAAAACCAGAAAGAAGCTTTCTGACAAACTCCTTTGTGATGTGTGAATTCATCTCACAGAATTGAACCTTACTTTTGATTGAGCAGTTTTGAAACACCCGTTTTGTAGTATCTACAAGTGGACATTTGGAGTGCTTTGAGGCCTATGGTGGAAAAGGAAATATTTTCACATAAGAATTAGGCAGAAGGATTCTGAGAAATTCCTTTTTGATGTGTGCATTCATCTCACAGAGTTGAACCTTACTTTCGATTAAGCAGTTTTGAAACACTCTTTTTTGTAGAATCTGCAAGTGGACATTTGCTGCACTTTGAGGCCTATGGTGGTTAATGAAATATCTTCATATAATAACTAGACAGAAGCATTATGCCAAACTTCTTTATGATGTGTGCATTCGTCTCACAGAGTGGAACCTTTCTTTTGATTGAGAAGCTCAGACACACTCTTTTTGTAGCATCTGCAATTGGACATTTGGAGCGCTTTGAGGCCTTTGGTGGAAAAAGGAAATATCTTCACATAAAAACCAGAAAGAAGCTTTCTGACAAACTTCTTTGTGATGTGTGCCTTCAGCTCACAGAGTTGAACCTTTCTTTTGATTGAGCAATTTGGAAACCCTCTTTTTGTAGAATCTGCAAGTGGACATTTGGAGTGCTTTGAGGCCTATGGTGGAAAAGGAAATATCTTCACATAAGAACTAGGCAGAAAGATTCTGAGAAATTCCTTTGTGATGTGTGCATTCATCTCACAGAGTTGAACCTTACTTTCGATTGAGCAGTTTTGAAACACTCTTTTTTGTAGAATCTGCAAGTGGACATTTGCTGCACTTTGAGGCCTATGGTGGTTAATGAAATATCTTCATATAACAACTAGACAGAAGCATTATGACAAACTTCTTTGTGATGTGTGCATTCGTCTCACAGAGTGGAAACTTTCTTTTGATTGAGCAGCTCTGAAACACTCTTTTTGTATAATCTGCAATTGGATATTTGGAGTGCTTTGAGGCCTTTGGTGGAAAAGGAAATATCATCACATAAAAACCAGACAGAAGCATTCTGACAAACTCCTTTGTGATGCGTGCATTCATCTCATGGAATTGAACCTTACTTTTCATTGAGCAGTTTTGAAGCACTCTTTTTGTAGAATCTACAAGTGGACATTTGGAGCACTTGAGAGCTATGGTTGAAAAGGAGATATCTTCACATAAAAACTAGACAGAAGCATTCTGACAAACTTCTTTGTAATGTGTGCATTCACATCACAGAGTTGAACCTTACCTTCAATTGAGCTGTTTCAAAACACTCTTTTTGTAGAATCTGCAAGTGGACATTTGAAGCACTTGAGGCCTATGTTGGAAAAGGAAATATCTCCACATAAAAATTAGACAAAAGCATTCTGACAAACTTCTTTGTGATGTGTACATTCATGTCACAGAGTTGAACCTTACTTTTGATTGAGCAGTTTTGAAGCACCCTTTTGGTAATATCCACAAGTGGACATTTGGAGTGCTTTGAGACCTTTGGTGCAAAAAGAAATATCTTCACATAAGAACTAAACAGAAGCATTCTGACAAATTTCTCTGCGATGGGTGCATTCATCTCACAGATTTGAACTTTATTTTGATTAAGCAGCTTTGAAACACTGTTTTTGTAAAATCTGCAAGTGGACATTAGGAGCGCTTTGAGGCCTATGTTGGATAACGAAATATCTTGACGTAAAAACTAGATAGACGCATTCTGACATACATCTTTGTGATGTGTGCATTAATCTCTCAGAGTTGAAACTTAATTTTCATTCAGAAGTTTTGAAATACTCTTTTTGTACTATCTGCAAGTGGACATTTGGAGCGCTTTGAGGCCTATGGTGGAAAAGTAAATATCTTCACATAAAAACTAGACAGAAGCATTCTGACAAACTTCTTTGTGATGTGTGCATTTATCTCACAGAGTTGAACCTTACCTTTCATTCAGCAGTTCTGAAACACTCTTTTTGTTGAATCTGCATTTGGACATTTGGAGAACTTTGAGGCCAATGGTGGAAAAGGAAATATCTTCACATAAAAACTAGACAGAAGCATTGTGACAACCTTCTTTGTGACATGCGCATTCATCTCACAGAGTTGAACCTTACTTTTGATTGAGCAGTTTTGAAACACCCTTTTTGTAATGTCTGCAACTGGACATTTGGAGTGCTTTGAGGCCTATGGTGGAAAAGGAAATATCTTCACATAAAAACCAGACAGAAGCATTCTCACAAACTTCTTTGTGATGTGTGCATTTATCTCGCAGAGCTGGACCATTCTTTTGATTGAGCAGCTTTGAAACACTCTTTTTGTAGAATCTGCAATTGGACATTTGGATCACTTTGAGGCCTATGGTGGAAAAGGAAATATCTTCAGATAAAAACTAGACAGAAGCATTTTGAAAAACTTCTTTGTGACGTTTGCATTCATCTCACTGACTTGAACCTTTCTTTTGATTGAGCAGTTTTGAAAAAGTATTTTATAGAATCTGCATGTGGACATTTGGAGCGCTTTGAGGCCTATGGTAGAAAAGAAAATATCTTCACATGAAAACTACACAGAAGAATTCTGACAAACTTCTTTGTGATGTGTGCATTCATCTCACAGAGTTGAACCTTTCTTTTGATTGAGCAGCTTTGAAACACCCTATTTGTAAAATCTGCAAGTGAACATTTGGTGCGCTTTGAGGTCTCTGGTGGAAAAGAAAATATCTTCACATACAAACTAGACAGAAGCATTCTGACAAACTACTTTGTGATTTGTGCATTCATCTCACAGAGTTGAACCTTTCTTTTGATTCAGCGGGTTTGAAACACCCTTTTTGTAGAATCTGCAAGTGAACATTTGGAGCACTTTGAGGCTGATGGTGGAAAAGGAAATATCTTCACATAAAAACTAAACAGACGTATTCTGACAACCTTCTTTGTGATGTGTACATTCATCTCACAGAGTTGAAACTTACTTTTGATTGAGCAGTTTTGAAACATCCTTTTTGTGCTATCTGCAAGTGGACATTTGGAGTGCTTTGAGTCCTATGGTGGAAAAGGAAATATCTTCACATAAGAACTAGACAGAAGCATTCTGAGAAATTTCTTTGTGATGTGTGCAATCATCTCACACAGTTGAACCTTACTTTTGATTGTCCAGTTTTGAAAAACTCTTTTTGTAGAATCTGAAAGTGGACATTTGGAGAGCTTTGAGGCCTATGATGGATAACGAAATATCTTCATATAATAAATAGAGAGAAACATTATGTTAAACTTTTTGTGATGTCTGCATACATCTCACAAAGAATTGAAACTTTCTTTTGATTGAGCAGCTTTGCAACATTCTTTTTGTGGAATCTGCAAGTGGACATTTGGAGTGCTTTGAGACCTATGGTGGATAACGAAATATGTTCACATAAAAATTGGACAGAAGCATTCTGAGAAACTTCTTTGTGATGTGTGCATTCATCTCACAGAGTTGAACCTCCCTTTTGATTGAGCACTTTGGAAGCACTCTTTCTGTAAAATCTGCAAGTGGACAATTGGAGTGCTTTGAGGCCTATGGTGGAAAAGGAAATATCTTCACATAAGAACTAGACAGAAACATTCTGAGAAATTTCTTTGTGATGTGTGCAATCATCTCACAGAGTTGAACCTTACTTTTGATTGTCTAGTTTTGAAAAACTCTTTTTGTAGAATCTGAAAGTGGACATTTGGAGCGCTTTGAGTCCTATGATGGATAACGAAATATCTTCATATAATAAATAGAGAGAAGCATTATGATAAACTTTTTGTGATGTCTGCATACATCTCACAAGGAGTTGAAACTTTCTTTTGATTGAGAAGCTTTGCAACATTCTTTTTGTAGAATCTGCAAGTGGACATTTGGAGTGCTTTGAGGCCTATGGTGGATAACGAAATATGTTCACATAAAAATTGGACAGAAGCATTCTGAGAAACTTCTTTGTGATGTGCGCATTCATCTCACAGAGTTGAACCTCCCTTTTGATTGAGCACTTTGGAAGCACTCTTTCTGTAAAATCTGCAAGTGGACAATTGGAGTGCTTTGAGGTCTATGGTGGAAAACGAAATATCTTCACATAAAAATTGGACAGAAGCATTCTGAGAAACTTCTTTGTGACGTGTGCATTCATCTCACAGAGTTGAACCTCCCTTTTGATTGAGCACTTTCGAAGCACTCTTTCTGTAAAATCTGCAAGTGGACAATTGGAGTGCTTTGAGGCCTATGGTGGAAAAGGAAATATCTTCACTTAAAAACTAGACAGAAGCATTCTGACAAACTTCTCTGTGATGTGTGCATTCATCTCACAAAGAATTGAAACTTTCTTTGATTCAGGAGCTTTGAAACACTCTTTTTGTAGAATCTGCAAGTGTACATTTGGAGCGCTTTGAGGCCTATGGTGGAAAAGGGGACATCTTCACATATAGAACAGACAGAAGCATTCTGACAAACTTCTTTTCGATGTGTGCGTTCAACTCACAGATTTGAACCTTACTTTTCATTGAGCAGATATGAAACACTCCTTTTGTAGAATCTGCAAGTGGACAATTGGACCGCTTTGTGGCCTATGGTGGAAAAGGATATATCGTCACATAAAAACTAGACAGAAATCTTCTGACAAACTTCTTTGTTATGTGTGCATTCATCTTTCAGAGTTGAACCTTTCTTTTGATTGAGCAACTTTGAAACACTGTTTTTGTAGAATCTGCAAGTAGTCATTTGGAGCGCTTTGGGGCCTATGGCAAAAAAGGAAATATCTTCACATAAAAACTAGACAGAAGCATTCTGACAAACTTCTTTGCGATGTGTGTATTCATCTCACAGAGTTGAACCTTACTTTTCATTGAGCAATTTTGAAACACTCTTTTTGGAGAATCTGTAAGTGGACATTTTGAGGGCTTTGACGCACATGGTGGAAAAGGAAATACCTTCACATAAAAATTGGACAGAAGCATTCTGACAAACTACTTTGTAATGTGTGCATTCATCTCTCAGAGCTGGACCTTTCTTTTGATTGAACAGCTTTGAAACACTCTTTTTGTAGAATCTGCAAGTGGACATTTGGAGCGCTTTGAGGCCTATGGTGGAAAAGGAAATATCTTCACAGAAAAACTAGACAGAAGCATTCTGACAAACTTCTTTGTTATGTGTGCATTCATCTCACAAAGAATTGAAACTTTCTTTGATTCAGGAGCTTTGAAACACTCTTTTTGTAGAATCTGCAAGTGTACATTTGGAGCGCTTTGAGGCCTATGGTGGAAAAGGGAACATCTTCACATATAGAACAGACAGAAGCATTCTGACAAACTTCTTTTCGATGTGTGCGTTCAACTCACAGATTTGAACCTTACTTTTCATTGAGCAGATATGAAACACTCTTTTTGTAGAATCTGCAAGTGGACAATTGGACCGCTTTGTGGCCTATGGTGGAAAAGGATATATCGTCACATAAAAACTAGACAGAAATCTTCTGACAAACTTCTTTGTTATGTGTGCATTCATCTTTCAGAGTTGAACCTTTCTTTTGATTGAGCAACTTTGAAACACTGTTTTTGTAGAATCTGCAAGTAGTCATTTGGAGCGCTTTGGGGCCTATGGCAAAAAAGGAAATATCTTCACATAAAAACTAGACAGAAGCATTCTGACAAACTTCTTTGCGATGTGTGCATTCATCTCACAGAGTTGAACCTTACTTTTCATTGAGCAATTTTGAAACACTCTTTTTGGAGAATCTGTAAGTGGACATTTTGAGGGCTTTGACGCACATGGTGGAAAAGGAAATACCTTCACATAAAAACGAGACAGAAGCATTCTGACAAACTACTTTGTAAAGTGTGCATTCATCTCTCAGAGCTGGACCTTTCTTTTGATTGAACAGCTTTGAAACACTCTTTTTGTAGAATCTGCAAGTGGACATTTGGAGCGCTTTGAGGCCTATGGTGGAAAAGGAAATATCTTCACAGAAAAACTAGACAGAAGTATTTTGAAAAACTTCATTGTGACGTTTGCATTCATCTCACTGATGTGAACCTTTCTTTTGATTGAGCAGTTTTGAAAAACTCTTTTTGTAGGATCTGCATGTGGACATTTGGATCGCTTTGAGGCCTATGGAGGAAAAGAAAATATCTTCACCTAAAAACCATACAGAAGTATTCTGAGAAACTTCTTTGTGATGTGTGCATTCATCTCACAGAGTTGAACCTTACTTTTCATTGAGCAATTTTGAAACACTCTTTTTGGAGAATCTGCAAGTGGACATTTGGAGGGCTTTGACGCACGTGGTGGAAAAGGAAATATCTTCACATAAAAACTAGACAGAAGCATTCTGACAACCTTCATTGTGATATGTGCATTCATCTAAGAGAGTTGAACCTTACTTTTGATTCAGCAGTTTTGAAACTCTCTTTTTGTAGAATCTGCAAGTGGACATTTGGAGCACTTTTAGACCTATGGTGGAAAAGGAAATATCTTCACATAAAAACTAGACAGAACAATTCTGAGAAACTTCTTTGGGATGTGTGCATTCATCTCACAGAGTAAAACATTCTTTTGATCCAGCAGTTTTGTAAGTATCTTTTTGTAGAATCTGCAAGTGGACATTTTGAGCCCTTTCAGGCCTATGGTGGAAACGGAAATATCTACAAATTGAAACTCGGCAGAAGAATTCTGAGAAACTCCTTTGTGATGCTTGCATTCATGTAACAGAGTTGAACCTTTCTTTATGATTGATCAGTTTGGAAACCCTCTTTTTTAGAATCTGCCAGCGGATATTTGGAGCGTTTTGCAGCCTATGGTGGAAAAGGAAATATCTTCACATGAAAACTAAATAGATGTATTCTGAGAAACTTCTATGTGATGTGTGCGTTCATCTCACAGAGTTGAACCTTTCTTTTGATTGAGCAGTTTGGAAACACTCTTTTTGTAGAATCTGCAAGTGGACGTATGGAATGCTTTGAAGCCTATGGTAGAACAGGAAATATCTTCACATAAAATCTGAACAGAGGAATTCTGAGAGACTCCTTTGTGATGTTTGTATTCATCTTACAGAATTAAAGCTTCCTTTTGAATGAGCAGATTTGAAACTGTCTTTTTGTAGAATCTGCAAGTGGACATTTTGAGCGCCTGGAGGCCTATGGTGGAAAAGAAAATGGCTTCACATGAAAACTAGACAGAAGAATTCTGAGAAACTTCTTTCTTATGTGTGCGTTAATCTCACACAGTTGAACCTTTCTTTTGATTGAGCAGTTTCAAACACTCTTTTTGTAGAATCTGCAAGTGGACTTTTGGAGCACTTTGTGGCCTACGGTAGAAAAGGAAATATCATCACATAAAATCTAGACAGAAGCAATCTGAGACTTCTTTGTGATGTGTGCATTCACCACACATTGTGTAACCTTTCCCTTGATTGAGCAGTTTTGAAACTCTTTTTGTAGAATCTACAAGTCTACATTTGGAGTGCTTTGAGACCTATGGTAGAAAAGGAAATATCTTCACATAAAAACTAGTCAAAAGAATTCTGAGAAACTTCTTGTTGATGTGTGTGTTCACCTCACAGAGTTGAACCGTTGTTTTGATTGAGCAGTTTGGAAACCCTCTTTTTGTAGAATCTGCATGTGGACATTTGGAGCGCTTTGAGGCCTATGGTGGAAAAGGAAGTATCTTCACATAAAAACTAGACAGAAGAATTCTGAGAAACTTCTTTGTGATGTCTGCATTTATCTCACAGACTTGAACCTTTCTTTTGATTGAGCAGTTTGGAAACACTCTTTTTGTAGAATCTGCAAGGGGACATTTGGAGCGGTTTACACCCTATGATAGAAAAGGAAATATCTTCACATAGAATATAGACAGAAGCAATCTGAGAAACTTATTTCTGATGTGTGAATTCATCTCACAGAGTTAAACATTTCTTTTGATTGAGCAGTTTGGAAACAATCTTTTTGAAGAATCTGCAAGTGAACATTTGGAGAGCTTTGTGGCATATGATAGTAAAGGAAATATCTTCAAATAAAATTTAGAGGAAGAAATCTGAGAAATTGCTTTTGATGTGTGCATTCATGTCACAGAATTAAAGCTTTCTTTTGATTAAGCAGTTTTGAAACTCTCTTTTTGTAGAATCTGCAAGTGGACATTTGGAAATCTTTGAGGCCTGTGTTAGAAAAAGGAAATATCATCACATAAAAACTAGATAGAAGCAATCTGAGAAACTTTGGTGTGACATGTGAATTCATCTCCCAGAGTTGAAACATTCTTTTGATGGAACAGTGTTGATATACTCTTTTGGTAGAATCTGCAAGTGGACATTTCAAATTCATTGAGTCTTATGGTGGAAAAGGAAATATCTTTACATAAAAACTAGACAGAAAAATCCTGGGAAACTTCTTTGTGATGTGTGCATTCATCTCACAGAGTTGAACCTTTCTTTTGAATGAGCAGTTTGGAAACTCTCTTTTTGCAGAATCTTCAAGTGGACATTTGGAGCGCTTTGAAGCCTATGGTAGAAAAGGAAATATCTTCACATAAAATCTACACAGAAGCAATCTGAGAAACTTCTTTGTGATGTGTGCATTCATCACACCGTGTTAAACCTTTCTCTTGACTGAGGAGTTTTGAAACTTACTTTTTGTAGTATCTGCAAGTGGTCATTTGGAGCGCTTTGAGGACTATGGTGGAAAAGGAAATATCTTCACATAAAAACCAGACAGAATAATTCTGAGAAACTTCTTTGTGATGAGTGAGTTCATCTCACAGAGTTGAACCTTTCTTTGATTGAGCAGTTTGGAAGCACTCTTTTTGTACAATCTGCAGGTGGATATTTGGAGCGCTATGCTGCCTATGGTAGAAAACGAAATATCTTCACATAAAATCAGGACAGAAGCAATCTGAGAAACATCCGTTTGATGTGTGCGTTAATCTCACAGAGTTAAATCTTTCTTTTGATTGAGCAGTTTTGAAACTCTCTTTTTGTAGAATCTGCAAGTGGACATTTGGAGCGCTTTTAGAACTATGGTGGAAAAGGAAATATCTTCACAAAAATCTGGACAGAAGACTTCTGAGAAACTTCTTTGTGATGTGTGTATTCATCTCACGGAGTTGAACCTTTCTTTTGATTGAACAGTTTTGAAATGCTCTTTTTGTAGAATCTTCAAGTCAGCATTTGGAGTGCTTTGAGGACCATAGTGGAAAAGGAACTATCTTCACATAGAAACTAGACAGAAGAATGCTGACAGACATCTTTTTGACGTTCGTTAATCTCACAAGGTTGAGCCTTTCTTTTGATTGAACAATTTGGAAAATCTCTTTTTGTTGAATCTGCATGTGGACATTTGGAGCGCTTTGAGGCCTATGGTGGAAAAGGAAGTATCTTCACATAAAACTAGACAGAAGAATTCTGAGAAACTTCTTTGTGATGTGTGCGTTTATCTCACAGACTTGAACCTTTCTTTTGATTGAGCAGTTTGGAAACACTCTTTTTGTAGAATCTGCAAGGGGACGTTTGGAGCGGTTTGCGCCCTATGATAGAAAAGGAAATATCCTCACATAAAATATAGACAGAAGCAATCTGAGAAACTTGTTTCTCATGTTTGCATTCATCCACAGAGTTAAACGTTTCTTTTGATAGAGTAGTTTTGAAACACTCTTTTTGTAGAATCTGCAAGTGGACATTTTTAATGCAGACATCACAAAGTAGTTTCTCAGATTGCTTCTGTCTAGATTGTATGTGAAGATATTTCTTTTTCTACCATAGACTCCAAAGCGATCCAAATGTCCACTTGCAGATTCTACAAAAAGAGTGTTTCCAAACTGTTCAACCAAAAGAAAGTTCAACTCTGTGAGATGAATGCACGCATCACAAAAAAGTTTCTCAGAGTTCTTCTGTCTAGTTTTTATGTGAAGATAATTTATTTTCCAATATAGGCCTCAAGGTGTTCGAAATGTCCACTTGCAGGTTCTACAAAAGAATATTTCAAAACTGGTCCATCAAAAGAAAGGTTTAACTCTGTGAGATGAATGCAAACATCACAAAGAAGTTTCTCAGATTGCTTCAGTCTAGATGTCATGTGAAGATATTTCCTTTTCTACCATAGCCTGCAAAACGCTCCAAATGTCCACTTTCAGATTCTACAAAAAGAGAGTTTCAAAACTGCTCCATCAAAATAAAGGTCCAACTCTGTCAGATGAATGCACACATCACAAAGAAGTTTCTCTTCTTGCTTCTGTCTAGATTGTATGTGAAGATATTTCTTTTTCCACCATACACCTCAAAGCACTCCAAATGTCCACTTGAAGATTCTATAAAAAGAGAGTTTCAAAGCTCTTCAATCAGAAGAAAGGTTCAACTCTGTGAGATGAATGCACACTTCACAAAGAAGTTTCTCAGATTTCTTCTGTATAGATTTTATGTTATGATATTTCTTTTTCTACCATAGGCCTCAAAGCGCTCCAAATGTCCACTTGCAGATTCTACAAAAAGAGAGTTTCAAAACTTCTGAATTAAAAGAAAGGTTTAACTCTGTGAGATGAATGAACACATCACTAGGATGTTGCTCAGATTGCTTCTGTCTAGATATTATGTGAAGATATTTCCTTTTCTATCATAGGCCGCAAAGCGCTCCAAATGTCCACTTGCAGATTCTACAAAAAGAATGTTTCCAAGCTCCTCATTCAAAAGAAAGATTGAACTCTGTCAGATGAACGCACACATCACAAAGAAGTTTCTCAGAATTCTTTTGTCTAGTTTTTATGTGAAGATATTTCCTTTCCCACCATAGTCCTCAAAGTGCTCCAAATGTCCACTTGCAGATTCTACAGAGAGTTTCAAAGCTCCTTCATCAAAAAAAAAAATGTTAACCTCTTTCTGATGAATGCACACATCACAAAGAAGTTTCTCAAATTGCTTCTGTCTAGATTTTGTCTGAAGATATTTCCTTTTCTGCCACAGACTGCAAAGCACTCCAAATATCCATTTTCAGATTCTACAAAAAGACTCTTTCCAAACTCTTCAATCAAAAGAAAGGTTCAACTCTGTAAGATGAACGCAGACATCACAAAGATGTTTCCCAGAATTCTTCTGTCTAGTTTTTATGTGAAGATATTTCATTTTCCACCAGAGGCCTCAAGGTGCTCAAATTGTCCACTTGCAGATTCTACAAAAAGAGAGTTTCAAAACTGCTCAATCAAAAGAAAGCTTTAACTCTGTGAGATGAATGCACACATCACAAAGAAGTTTCTCAGATTGCTTCTGTCTACAATTTATGTGAAGATATTTCCTTTTATGCTATAGGCCCCAAAGCGCTCCAAATGTCCACTTGCAGATTCTACAAAAAGAGAGTTTCCAAACTGCTCAATCTAAAGGAAGGTTCAACTCTGTGAGAACAATGCACGCATCACAAAGAAGTTTCTCAGAATTCTTCTGTCTAGTTTTTATGTGAAGATACGTTATTTTCCACCATAGGCCACAAAGCACTCTACATATCCACTTGAAGATTCTACAAAAAGAGAGTTTCAAATCTGCTCCATCAAAGGAAAACTTCAACCCTCTGAGATGAATGCACCAATCACAAAGAAGTTTATCAGATTACTTCTGTTTATATTTTATATGAAGATATTTCCTTTTCCAATATAGGCCTCAAAGTGCTCCAAATATCCACTTGTAGGTTTTACAAAAAGAGAGTTTCAAAACTGTTAAATCAAAACAAAGCTTTAACTCTGTGAGATGAATGCACACATCACAAAGAAGTTTCTCAGATTGCTTCTGTCCAGATTTTATGTGAAGATATTTCCTTTTCTACCATAGGCCGCAAAACGCTCTAAATGTCCACTTGCAGATTCTACAAAAAGAGTGTTTCCAAACTGCTCAATCAAAAGAAAGATTCAACTCTGTTAGATGAATGCACACATCGCCAAGTCGTTTCTCAGAATTCTTCTGCCTAGTTTTTATTTGAAGATATTTGCTTTCCAACCATAGTCCTCAAAGCGCTCCAAATGTGCACTTGCAGATTCTACAAACAGAGAGTTTCAAAACTCGTGCATCAAAAAAAGTTTACCTCTTTCAGATGAATGAACACATCACAAAGAAGTTTCTCAGATTGCTTTTGTCTAGATTTTGTCTGAAGATATTTCCTTTTCTGCCATAGGCCACAAAGCGCTCCAAATATCCACTTGCAGATCCTACAAAAAGAGTGTTTCTGAACTCCTCAATCAAAAGAAAGTTTCAACTCTGTGAGATGAATGCACACATCACAAGGAAGTTTCTCAGAGTTCTTCTGATTTGTTTTTATATGAAGATATTTCCTTTTCTGTCATAGGCCTTTAAGCGTTCCAAATATCCACTTGAAGATTCTACAGAAAGAGAGTTTCCAAAGGGCTCAATCAAAAGAAAGTTTTAACTCTGTGAGATGAATGCACACATCACAAAGAAGTTAATCAGATTGCTTCTGTCTAGATTTTATGTGAGGATATTTCTTTTTCCAGCCTAGGCCGCACAGCACTCCAAATGTCCTCCTGAAGATTCTACTACAAAAGTTTTTCCAAACTGCTCAATAAAAAGAAAGGTTCAACTCTGTGAGATGAATGCACACATCACAAAGTAGTTTCTCAGAATGCTTCTGTCTAGTTTTTATGCGAAGATATTTCCTTTTCCACCGTAGGCCTCAAAACGCCCCAAATGTCCACGTGCAGGTTCTACAAAAAGAGAGCTTCAAAACTGCTCAATCAAAGAAGTTTTAACTCTGTGAGATGAATGCACACATCACAAAGAAGTTTCTCATATTGCTTCTGTCTACAATTTATGTGAAGATATTTCCTTTTATACCATAGGCCCCAAAGCGCTCCAAATGTCCACTTGCAGATTCTACAAAAGGAGTGTTTCCAAACTTCTCAATCAAAAGAAGGTTCAAATCTGTGAGAAGAACACAGGCATCATAAAGAAGTTTCTCAGAATTCTTCTGTCTAGTTTTTATGTGAAGATACATTATTTTCCACCATAGGCCACAAAGCACTCTAAATGTCCACTTGCAGATTCTACAAAAAGAGAGTTTCAAATCTGGTCCATCAAAAGAAAACTTCAACCCTGTGAGATGAACGCACATATCACAAAGAAGTTTATCAGGTTGCTTCTGTCTAGATTTTATGTGAAGATATTTCCTTTTATACCATAGATTGCAAAGCACTCCAAATGTCCACTTGAAGATTCTACAAAAAGAATGTTTCCAAACTGCTCAATCAAAAGAAATGTTCAGCTCTATGAGATGAACACAGACATCACAAAGAAGTTTCTCAGAATTCTTCTATCTAGTTTTTATGTGAAGATATTTCCTTTTCCCCATAGGTCTAAAATCTCTCCAAATATCCACTTGCAGATTCTACAAAAAGAGAGTTTCAAAACTACTGAATCAAAAGAAAGGTTTAACTGTGTGGGATGAATGCACACATCACAAAGAACTTTCTCAGATTGCCTCTATCTAGATTTTAATGTGAATATCTTTCCTTTTCTACCATAGGCCTCAAAGCGCTCCAAAAGTCCACTTGCAGATTCTACAAAAAGAGTGTTTCCAAACAGCTCAATCAAAAGAAATTTTTGACTCTGTGAGATGAACGCTCTCATCACAAAGATGTTTCTCAGAATTCTTCTGTCTAGTTTTTATATGAAGATACTTCCTTTTCCACGATGGGCCTCAATATGATCCAAATATCCACTTGCAGATTCTACAAAAGGAGTGTTTCAAAACTCCTCAATCAAAAGAAAGATTTAACTCTGTGAGATGAATGCAACATCACAAAGAAGTTTCTCAGATTGCTTCTGTCTGGATTTTATGTGAAGATATTTCCTTTTCCACCATAGGCCTTTAAGAGCTCCAAATGTCCACTTCCAGATTCTACGTAAAGAGAGTAGCAAAATTGCTCAATCAAGAGAAAGTTTTAACTCTGTGAGATAAATGCACACATCATAAAAAAATTTCTCAGTTTGCTTCTGTCTATATTTTATGTGAGGGTATTCCGTTTTCTACCATAGGCTGCAAAGCTCCCCAAATATCCACTTACAGATTCTACCAAAAGAGAGTTTCAAAACTACTCTGTCAAAAGATAGGTTCAAATCCGTGAGTTGAATGCACACATAACAAGGAAGTTTCCCAGAATGCTTCTGTGTAGTTTTTATCCGAAGATATTTCCTTTTCCAAAATAGACCACAAAGCCCTTCACATATTCACTTCCAGATTCTACAAAAAAAGTGTTTCAAAACTACTCAGTCAATAGAAAGGTTCAACTCTGTGTGGTGAATGCATTTTTCTCAAAGAAGTTTCCCAGAATGCTTCTGTGTAGTTTTTATTTGAAGATATTTCATTTTCCATCATAGGGCACAAAATGCTCCAAGTATCCACTTGCAGATTCTACAGAAAGAGAGATTTAAAAATGCTGAATCAAAAGATAGGGTCAACACTGTGAGTTGAATGCACACATAACAAGAAGTTTCACAGAATGCTTCTGTGCAGTATTTATGTGAAGATATTTCCTTTTTCAAAATAGGCCTCAAATCGCTCCAAATATCCACTTGCAGATTCTACAAAAAGAGTGTTTCCAAACAGCTCAATCAAAAGAATGGTTAAATTCTGTGAGACAAATGCACACATCACAAGGATGTTTCTCAGAATGCTTCTGTGTAGTTTCAGTTTGAAGATATTTCCTTTTCCATTATAGGCCACAAAGGGCTCCAAATATCGACTTGCAGATTCTACAAAAGAGAGATTCAAATCTGCCCAGTCCAAAGATAGATTCAACTCTCTGAGTTGAATGCACATATCACAAAGAAGTTTCTCAGAATGCTTCTGTGTAGTTTTCATGTGAAGATATTTCGTTTTCCACAATGGGCCTCAAAGCTCTCCAAATATCAACTTGCAGATACTGCAAAAAGAGTGTTTCAAAACTGTTCAATCAAAGGAAGGTTTCAACTCTGTGTGATGAATGCACTCATCACAAAGAAGTTTCTCTGAATGCTTCTGTGTAGTATTTATTTGAAGATATATCCTTTTCCACCAAAGAGCACAAAGGGCTCCAAATATCCACTTGCAGATTCTACAAAAAGAGAGATTCAAAACGGCTCAATCAAAAGATAGGTTCAACTCTCTGAGTTGAATGCACACATCACAAAGAAGTTTCTCAGAATGCTTCTGTGTAGTTTTTATTTGAAGATATTTCCTTTTCCACAATAGGCCTGAAATCACTCCAAATATCCACTTGCAGATTCTACAAAAAGAGTGTTTCAAAACTACTCAATCAAAAGAAAGGTTCAACTCTGTGAGGTGAACGCACACATCACAAAGAAGTTTCTCAGAATGTTTTTGTGTAGTTTTTAGGTTAAGATATGTGCTTTTCCAAAGTAGGCCTCAAAGCGCTCATAATATCCACTTGCCGATTATACAGAAAGAGTGTTTCAAAACTGCTCTATCATAAGATAGGTTGAACCCTCTGAGATGAATGCACAGATCACAAAGACTTTTTTCAGAATTCTTCTGTGTAGTTTTTATTTGAAGATATTTCCCTTTCCACCATAGGACGCAAATGGTTCCAAATATCCACTTGCAGATTCTACAAAAAGAGAAATAGAAATCTGTTCAATTATAAGATAGGTTCAACCTTGTGAGATGAATGCACACATCACAAAGATGTTTCTCAGAATGCTTCTGTGTAATTTTTATGTGAAGATACTTCCTTTTCCACAATAGAGTGTTTCAAAACTTCCCAATCAAAAGAAAGGTTCAACCCTGTCAGATGAATGCTCACATCACAATCAAGTTTCTCAGAATGCTTCTGTGTAGTTTTTATTTGAAGATATTTTCTTTTCCACCATAGGCCACAAAGGGCTCCAAATATCCACTTGCAGATTGTACAAAAAGAGAGATTCAAAACTGCCCAATCAAAAGATAGGTTCAACTCTGTTAGTTGAATGCACGCATCACAGAAAAGTTTCCCAAAATGCTTCTGTGAAATTTTTATGTGAAAATATTTCTTTTTCCACAATGGGCCTCAAAGCTCTCCAAATATCAACTTGCAGATACTGCAAAAAGTGTGTTTCAAAACTGCTCAATCAGAGGAGGATTTCAACTCTGTGTGATGAATGCACTCATCACAAAGAAGTTTCTCTGAATGCTTCTGTGTAATTTTTATTTGAAGATATTTATTTTTCCACCATAGAGCGCAAAGGGCTCCAAATATCCACTTGCAGATTCTACAAAAAGATAGTTTAAAAACGGGTCAATCAAAAGATAGGTTCAACTCTGTGAGTTGAAGACACCCATCAAAAAGAAGTTTCTCAGAATGCTTCTGTGTAGGTTTTATGTGAAGATATCTCCTTTTCTACAGTAGGCCTCAAATCGATCCAAATATCCACTTGTAGATTCTACAAAAACAGTTTCAAAACTGCTCAATCAAAAGATAGGTTCAATTCTGTGAGCTGAATGCACTCACCACAGACATGTTTCTCAGAATGCTTCTGTGTAGTTTTTATGTGAAGATATTTCCTTTTCCACAATAGGCTTCAAAGCTCTCCAAATATCCACTTGCCGATTCTGCAAAAAGAGAGATTCAAAACTGCTCAATCAAGACATAGGTTCAACTCTGTGAGTTGAATGCACATCTCCAAAGAAGTTTCTCAGAATTCTTCTGTGTAGTTTTTATTTGAAGATATTTGCTTTTCCACAGTAGGCCTCAAAGCGCTACAAATATCCACTTGAAGTTTCTGCAAAAAGAGAGATTCAAAACTGCTCAATCAAAAGATAGATTCAACTCTGTGTGTTGAATTCACACATAACAAAGGAGTTTCTCAGAATGCTTCTGTGTAGTTTTTATGTTAAGATATACCCTTTTCCAAAATAGGCCTCAAAGCCCTCCAAATATCCACTTCCAGATTCTACAAAAAGAGTGTTTCAAATTTGCTCAATGAAAAGAAACATTCAACACTGTGTGATGAATGCACTCCTCACAAAGAAGTTTCTCTGAATGCTTCTGTGTAGTTTTTATTTGAAGATATTTCCTTTTCAACTTTAGGGCACAAAGAGCTCCCAATATCCACTTGCAGATTCTACAAAAAGAGAGATTGGAAACTGCTCAATCAGAAGATACGTTCAACCCTGTGAGATGAATGCACACATCACAGAGAAGTTTCCCAGAATGCTTCTGTGTATGTAGTTTTTATTTGAAGATATTTCCTTTTCCACCATATGCTGCAAAGGGCTCTAAATATTCAATAACAAAGTCTACAAAAGAGAGATTCCAAACTGCTCAATCAAAAGATCTGTTCAACTCTTTAAGTTTAATGCATATATAACAAAGAAGTTTCTCAGAATGTTTCTGTTCAGTTTTTATGTGAAGATATTTCTTTTTCCACCATAGGCCTCAAAGCCCTCCAAATATCCAATTCCAGATTCTACAAAAAGAGTGTTGCAAAATTGATCAATCAAAGGAAGGGTTCAACTCTCTGAGATGAATGCACTCATCACAAAGAAGTTTCTCAGAATGCTACTGTGCTCTTTTTATTTAAAGATATTTCCTTTTCCACCATAGGGTGCAAAGGGCTCCAAATATCTACTTACGGATTCTACAAAAAGAGAGATTGAAAACTTCTCAATCAAAAAATAAGTTCAAATCTGTGAGTTGAATGAACACATAACAAAGAAGTTTGTCAGAATGCTTCTGTGTAGTTTTTATGTGAAGATATTTCCTTTTCCAAAATAGGCCTCAAAGCTCTTGAAATATACACTTCCAGATTCCACAAAAAGAGTGTTTCAAAATTGCTCAATCAAAGGAAAGGTTCAACTCTGTGTGATGAATGCACTCATCACAAAGAAGTTTCTCTGAATACTTCTGTGTAGTTTTTATTTGAAGATATTTCATTTTCCACAATAGGGCGCAAAGGGCTCCAAATATGGACTTGAAGATTCTACAAAAAGAGAGATTCAAAGTTGCTCAATCAAAAGAAAGGTTCAACTCTGTGAGTTGAATGCACACATCACAAAGAAGTTTCTCAGAATGCTTCTGCGTAGTTTTTAAGTGAAGATACTTCCTTTTCCACAATAGGCCTCAAACCGCTCCAGGTATCCCTTTGCAGATACTACAAAAAGAGTGTTTCAAAACTGCTCAATCAAAAGAAAGTTTCAACTTTGTGAGATGAATGAACACATCACAAAGAGGTTTCTCAGCATGCTTCTGTGTAGTTTTTATGTGAACATATTTGCTTTTCCACAATAGGCCTCAAAGCTCTCCAAATATCCACTTGCAGATTCTGCAAAAAGAGAGATTCAAAAGTGCTCAATAAGGCGGTAGTTTCGACTCTGTGAGTTGAATGCACATCTCCAAAAAAGTTTCTCAGAATTCTTCTGTGTAGTTTTTATTTGAAGTATTTGCTTTTCCACCATAGGCCCCAAATCGCTACAAATATCCACTTGAAGATTCTGCAAAAAGAGAGAATCAAAACTGCTCAATCAAAAGATAGGTTCAACTCTGGATGTTGAATGCACACATAACAAAGGAGTTTCTCAGAATGCTTCTGTGTAGTTTTTATGTTAAGATATACTCTTTTCCAAAATAGGCCTCATAGCCCTCCAAATATCCACTTCCAGATTCTACAAAGAGTGTTTCAAAACTGCTCAATGAAAAGTAACGTTCAACACTGTGTGATGAATGCACTCCTCTCAAAGAAGTTTCTCTGAATGCTTCTGTGTAGTTTTTACTTGAAGATATTTCCTTTTCAACAATAGGGCACAAAGGGCTGCAAATATCCACTTGCAGATTCTACAAAAAGAGAGATTGGAAACTGCTCAATCATAAGAGGCGTTCAATTCTGTGAGATGAATGCACACATCACAGAGAAGTTTCCCAGAATGCTTCTGTGTAGTTTTTAAGTGAAGATACTTCCTTTTCCACAATAGGCCTCAAATCGCTCCAAATATCCACTTGCAGATTCTACAAAAAGTGTGTTTCAAAACTCCTCAATCAAAAGAAAGTTTCAACTCTTTGAGATGAATGAACACATCACAAAGAAGTTTCTCAGAATGCTTCTGTTTTGTTCTTATTTGAAGATATTTCCTTTTCAGCAATAGGCCTCAAAACTCTCCACATATCCACTTGCAGATTCTGCAAAAAGGGAGATTCAGAGCTGCTCATTCAAAAGGTAGGTTCAACTCTGTGTTTTGAATACACACCTCACAACGAAGTTTCTCAGAATGCTTCTGTGTAGTTTCTATGTGAAGATATTTCCTTTTCTACAATAGGCCTCAAAGCTCTCCAAATAGCAACTTTCAGATTCTGCAAAAAGAGAGATTCAAAACTGCCCAATTAGCAGATAGGTTCAACTCTGTGAGTTGAATACACACATCACAAAGAAGTTTCTCAGAATGCTTCTGTGTAGTTTTTATTTGAAGTTATTTCCTTTTCCACCATAGGCCACAAAGGGATCAAAACATCCAAATGCAGATTCTAAAAAAAGGAGATTCAAAACTGCTCAATCAAAAGAAACGTTCAACTCTGTGACATGAATGTACACACCACAAAAAAGTTTCTCAGAATATTTCTGTGTAGTTTTTATGTGAAGATATTTGCTTTTCCACGGTAGGCCTCAAAGCGCTCCAAATATGTACTTGCAGATTCTATAAAAGGAGTGTTTCAAAACTGCTGAATAAAAAGAAAGGATCAACTCTGTGAAATGAATGGACACATCACAAAGAAGTTTCTCAGAATGCTTCTGTGTAGCTTTTATTTGAAGGTATTTCCTTTTCCACCATAGGCCGCAAAGGGATCGAAATATCCAATTGCAGATTCTAAAAAAAGGAGATTCAAAACTGCCCATTTCTGTGTAGTCTTTATGTGAAGATATTTGCTTTTCCATGTTAGGCCTCAAAGCGATCCAAATATCTACTTGCAGATCCTGTAAAGTGAGTGTTTCAAAACTGCTGAATAAAAAGAAAGGATCAACTCTGTGAAATGAATGGACACATCACAAAGAAGTTTCTCAGAATGCTTCTGTGTAGTTTTTATTTGAAGGTATTTCCTTTTCCACCATAGGCCACAAAGGGATTGAAATATCCAATTGCAGATTCTAAAAAAAGGAGATTCAAAACTGCTCAATCAAAATAAACGTTCAACTCTGTGACATGAATGTGCACACCACCAAAAAGTTTCTCAGAATGTTTCTGTGTAGTTTTTATGTGAAGATATTTGCTTTTCCACGGTAGGCCTCAAAGTGCTCCAATTATGTACTTGCAGATTCTATAAAAGGATTGTTTCAAAACTGCTGAATAAAAAGAAAGGATCAATTCTGTGAAATGAATGGACACATCACAAAGAAGTTTCTCAGAATGCTTCTGTGTAGTTTTTATTTGAAGGTATTTCCTTTTCCACCATAGGCCGCAAAGGGCTCCAAATATCCAATTGCAGATTCCAAAAAAAAGGAGATTCAATACTGCTCAATCAAAAGAAAGGTTCAACTCTGTGAATTGAATGCACACATCACAAAGAAGTTTATCAGAATGCTTCTGTGTAGCTTTTATGTTAAGATATTTCCTTTTCCACAATAGGGCTGATATCGCTCCAAATATCCACTTGCAGACTCTACAAAAACAGTGTTTCATAACTGCTCCATCAAAATAAAGAATCAACTCTGTGAGGTGAATGCACACATCACAAAGAAGTTTCTCTGAATGCTTCTGTGTAGTGTTTATGTGAACATATTTGCTTTTCCACAATAGGCCCCAAAGTGCTCCAAATATCCACATGCTGATTTCTACAAAAAGAGTGTTTCAAAACTGCTCAATCATAAGGTAGGTTCGTCCTGTGAGATGAATGCACACATCAAAACGAAGTTTCTCAGAATGCTTCTGTGTAGTTTTTATTTGAACATATTTCCTTTTCCACCATAGGCCACAAAGGGCTCCAAATATCCACTCACAGATTCTACAAAAAAAGAGATTCAAAACTGTTTAATCAAAAGCTAGGTTCAACTCTGTCAGTTGAATGCACACATCACAAAGAAGTTTCTCAGAATGCTTCTGTGTAGTTTTTACATGAAGATATTTCCTTTTCCCCAATAGGCCTCAAAGCTCTCCAAATATCCACTTGCAGATTCTGCAAAAAGAGATTCAAAACTGCTCCATCAAAAGAGAGGTTCGACTGTCAGTGGAATGCACACATCACAAAGTAGTTTCTCAGAACGCTTCTGTGTAGTTTGTATGTGAAGATATTTCCTTTTCAACCATAAAGCACAAAGGGCTCCAAATATCAAGTTGCAGATTGTACCAAAAGAGAGTTTAAAAACGGCTCAATCAAAACATAGGTTCAACTCTGTGAGTTGAATGCACACGTCACAAATAGTTTCTCAGAATGATTTTGTGTAGTTTTTAGGTGAAGATATTTGCGATTCCACAGTAGGCCTCAAAGCGCTCCAAATATCCATTTGCTCATTAAACAAAAAGAGTGTATCAAAACTGCTCAATCATAAGATAGGTTCAACCCTGTGAGATGAATGCACACATCACAAATAACTTTCTCAGAATGCTTCTGTGTAGTTTTTATGTGAAGATATTTCCTTTTCCACCGTAGGCCACAAAGGGCTCCAAATATCAACTTGAAGATTCTACAAAAAGAGAGATTCAAAACTGCTCCATCAAGAGATAAGTTCAACTCTGTGAGTTGAATGGACACATCGCAAAGAATTTTCTCATAATGCTTCTGTGTAGTTTTTATTTGAAGATACTTCCTTTTCCACAATAGGCCTCAAAGCTCTCCAACTATCCCCTTGCAGATTCTACAAAAAGAGAGATTCAAAACTGCTCAATCAATAGAGTGGTTTGACTCTGTGCGTTGAATGCACACCTCACAGAGAAGTTTCTCAGAATGCTTCTGTGTAGTTTGTATTTGAAGATATTTGCTTTTCCACAGTAGGCCTGAAAGCTCTCCAAATATCCACTTGCAGATTCTGCCAAAAGAGAGATTCAAAACTGCTCAATCCAAAGATAGGTTCAACTCTTTGAGTTGAATGCACACATCACAAAGAAGTTTTTCAGAATGCTTCTGTGTAGTTATTATCTGAAGATATTTCCTTTTCCACAGAAGACCTCAGAGGTCTTTAATATCTACTTGCAGATTCTGCAAAAAGAGTGATTCAAAACAGCTCAATCAAAAGATATTTTCGACTCTGTGAGTTGAATGCACACCTAACAAAAAAGATTCTCACAATGCTTCTGTGTAATTTTTAGGTGTAGATGTTTGCTTTCCCTCATTAGGCCTCAAAAAGTTCCAAATATCCACTTGCAGATTCTGCAAAAAGAGAGATTCAAAACTGCTCATTCAAGAGATAGGTTCAAATCTGTGAGTTGACTGCACACCTCACAAAGAAGTTTCTCAGAATGCTTCTGGGTAGTGGAGTGGAGAAAAGTGGAGTGGATTGGAGTGGTAAGGATTGGAATGCAATGGAGTGGAGTGGAATGGAATGGAATGGAACAGAATGGAATGGAATGGAGTGGAACAGAGTGGAGTAGAGGGGAGTGGAATGGAGTTGAGTGGAGTGTATCAGAGTGCAGTGGAATGGAAAGGAATGGAATGGATTGGAATGGATTGGAGTGGAGTGGAGTGGAATGGAGTGAAATAGAGTGGAGTGGAATGAAGTGGAATGGAATGGAATGGAGTTGAATGTAACGGAATGGAGCAGAAAGGAATGGAACGGAACTTAAAGGAATCTAGTGGAGTGGAGTGGAGTGGAGTTGATCAGAGTGCAGTGGAATTGAATGGAATGGACTGGAATGGAATAGAGTGGAGTGGAGGGGAGTGGTAAGAAGTTGAATAGAGTGGAATGAAATAGAGTGGAGTGGAATGGTATGGAATGGAATGGAATGGAATGGAATGGAATGGAATGGAATGGAAAGGAATGGAAAGGAAGAGAATGGAATGGAATTGAAAGGAGCAGAGTGGAGTGGAATGGAGTTGATTGGAGGGGATCGGAGTGGAGGGGAATGGAATGGAATGAAGTGGAGTGGAGTGGAGTTGAATGGAATGGAGTGGAGTGAAACGGAATGGAATGGAATGGAATGGAACAGAATGGAGTGGAGTGGAGTGGAGTGCAGTGGAGTTGAGTGGAGTGGTTCGGAGTGCAGGGGAATGGAAATGAATGGAATGGAATGGAATGAAACAGGATGGAATGCAACGAAGAAATGAAATGTGAGCTAAGATTGTGTCACTGCACTCCAGTCTGGGTGACAGAGGTAGACCAGTCGAAATAAAGGAATGGAATGGAATGGAGTAGAATGGAATGGAATGGAGTGGAGTGGAATGGATGGAATGGAGTGGAGTGGATTGGAGTGGAGTGGAATGGAGAGTAGTGGAGTGTGGTGGAATGAGTGGAGCAGAATGGAATGGAGTGGAATTGAGTGGAATGGAATGGAGTGGAATGGAATGGAATGGAATGGAGTGGAATGGAATGGAATGCATTGGAGTTGAATGGAATGGAATGGAATGGAATGGAGGGGAATATAATGGAATGTAGTGCAATGAAATGTACTGGAGTGGAGTGCAGTGGAGTGGAGTGGAATATAGTGAAATGGAGTGGAGTGGAACGGAGTGGAGTGGAATGGAATGGAATGAAATGGAACGGAACAGAACGGAAGAGAATGGAATGGAAGGGGACAGAGTGGAGCGGAATGGAGTTGAGTGGAGGGGATCGGAGTGCAGTAGAATGGAATTGAATGGAATGGAATGGAGTGGAGTGGAGTGGAATGGAATGGAGTGGAGTGGAATTGAATGGAAAGGAAAGAAATGGAATGGAATGGAACGGAATAGAATGGAACGGAACAGAACAGAGTGGAGTGGAGTGGAGTTTAGTGGAGTGGATCGGAGTGCAGGGGAATGGAATGGAATGGAATGGAATGGAATGGAATGGAATGAAATGGAATGGAATGCAACTATGAAATAAAATGTGAGCTAAGATTGTGCCACTGCACTCCAGTGTGGGTGACAGAGTTAGATCCAGTCGAAACAAAGGAATGGAATGGAATGGAGTAGAATGGAATGGAATGGAGTTGAGTGGAATGGAATGGAATGGAATGGAGTGGAGTGGAGTGGAATGGAGGGGAGTGGAGTGTAGTGGAATGAGTGGAGCGGAATTGAGCGGAATGGAATGGAGTTAAATTGAGTGGAATGGAATGGAATGGAATGGAGTGGAATGGAATGGAATGGAGTGGAATGTAATGGAATGGAGTGCAATAAAATGTAGTGTAGTGTAGTGTAGTGTAGTGTAGTGGAATGGAGTGGAATGGAATGCAGTGCAGTGGGATGGAATGGAACGGAATGGAAGACAATGAAGTGCAGTGGATTGTAATGGAATGGAGTGGAATAGAATGGAGTGGAGTGGTGTGGAGTGGAATGGAGTGGAGTGGAATGGAGTGGAAAGGAATGGAGTGGAGTGGAAAGGAATGGAATGGAATGGAATGAAATGGAAAGGAATGGAAGGGAATGAAATGGAATGGAACAGAATAGATTGGAGTGGAATCGAGTGGAGTGGAGTAGGGTGGAGCGGATCGGAATGCAGTGGAATGAAATGGAATGGAATGGAATGGAATGGAATGAAATAGAATGGAATTTAGGGGAGTGGCGTGGGGTGGATTGAGTGGAGTTGAGTGCAGTAGTGTGGAATGGAGTGGAATGGAATGTAGTGGAGTGGAATGGAATGGAAAGGAACAGAAAGGAATGGAATGGAATGGAATGGAATGGAATGGAATGGAACAGAGTGGAGTCTAATGGAGTGAAATGGAGTGGAGTGGAGTGGAGCGGAATGAAATGGAGTGGAATGGAACAGAATGGAACTGACCAGAACGGAATGGAATCGAATGGAGTGGAGTGGAGTTGAGTGGAGTGGATCGGAGTGCAGTGGAATGAAATGGAATGGAATGGAATGGAATGTATTGGAGTGGATTCGAGTGGAGTGGAGTGTAGTTGAATGGAGTGGAATGAAATGCAGTGGAGTGGAATGGAATGGAATGGAGTGGAATGGAATAGAATAGAACGGAATGGAATGGAATGAAAAGGAATGGAGTGGAGTGGAGTTGACTGGAATGGATTGGATTGCCATGGAAAGGAAAGGAAAGGAATGGAATGGAATGGAATGGAATGGAATAGAATGGAATGGAAAGGAGTGTATTGGAATGGAGTGGAGTGGAGTTGACTGGAATGGATTGGATTGCCATGGAAAGGAAAGGAATGGAATGGAATGGAATGGAATGGAATGGAATGGAATGGAAAGGAGTGTAGTGGAATGGAGTGGAGTGGAGTGCAGTGGATTGGAGTGGAATGGAGTGGAGTGGAGTGCAGTGGAGTGGAAAGGAGTGGAGTGGTGTGGAATGGAATGGAGTGGAATGGAACGGAACCAAACTGAACAGAGTGGAAAGGAATGGAACGGAGTGGAGTTGAGTGGAGTAGAGTTGAGTGGAATGGATGGGAATGCTTTGGAATGGAATGGAAAATAATTTAATGAAATTTAGTTGAGTGGAGTGGATTTTATTGGAGTGGAGTGGAATGGAATGGATTAGAGTTTAGAGCAGTGGCGTGGAGTGGAGTGGAATGGAGTGGAATGGAGTGGAATGAAATGGAGTGGAGTGGAATGGAATGAAATGGATCAGAATGCTATGGAATGGAATGGAACGGAATGGAGTGGAGTGGAGTTGAGTGGAGTGGATGGGATAGCAGTGGAATGGAATGGAATGAAATGCAATTGAATGAAATGGAGTGGAATCATGCAATGAAATGTGAGCTAAGATTGTGCCACTGCACTCTAGTCTGGGAGACAGAGTGAGATATAGTCGAAGTAAAAGAATGGATTGAAATGCAGTAGAATATAATGGAATGGAGTGGAGTGGAATGGAATGAAGTGGAATAGAATGGAGTGGAGTGGAATGGAGGGGAGTGGATTGGAGTGGAGTGGAATGGAGTGGAATGGAATGAAATGGAGTGGAGTGGAGTGGAAGAAATAGAGTGGAATGAAGTGGAGTGGAATGGAGTGGAGGGGAGTGAGTGGAATGGGGTGCAGTGGAATGGAATGGAGTGGACTGGAGTGGAAGGGAGTGGAATGAATTGGAATGGAATGGATTGGAATGGAATGAATGGAGTGGAATGGAGTGGAGTGTATTGGAGTGGATTGTAGTGGAGGGAAGTGGAATGGAGTAGAATGGAGTGAAATGGAGTGGAGTGGAGTGGAGTGGAATGGAATGGAGTTTAATGGAATGGAAAGGAACGTACCAGAACAGAATGGAATGGAACGGAATGGAATGGAGTGGAATGGAGTGGAATTGTGTGGAGTGGATCGGAGTGCAGTGGAATGGAATGGAATGGAATGGAATGGAATGGAATGGAATGGAATGGAATGGAATGGAGTGGAGTGGGGTGGAGTGGATAGGAGTGGAATGGAATGGAGTGGTGTTGAGTAAACTGGAATAGAGTGGAATGGAATGGAGTGGATTGGAATGCAATGGAAAGGAACAGAATGGAATGAATGGAACAGAATGGTATAGAACGGACGGAAAGGAGTGGAGTGGAATGGAGTTGAGTGGAGTGGATCGGATTGCTGTGGAATGGAAAGGAATGGAATGGAATGGAATGGAAAGGAATGTAGTGGAATGGAGTGGAGTGGAGTGGAATGGAGAGGAGTGGAATGGAGTGTAGTGGAATGGAGTGGGGTGGAGTGGAGTGCAGTGGAGTGGAGTGCAGTGGAGTGGAATGTAGTGGTTTGGAGTGTAATGGAATGGAGTGGAATGCAACGGAACAGAGGAGAATGCAACAGAATGGAATGGAATGGAGTGGAGTGGAGTAGAGTTGAGTGGAGTGGATCAGACTGCAGTGTAATGGAGTGGAATGGAATTTAAAGTAATCGAGTGGACTGGAGTGGAGTGGAGTTTAGTGGAGTGCGGTAGAATAGTTGTCTATTAGGTCCGCTTGGTGCAGAGCTGAGTTCAATTGCTGGGTATCCTTGTTGACTTTCTGTCTTGTTGATCTGTCTAATGTTGACAGTGGGGTGTTAAAGTCTCCCATTATTAATGTGTGGGAGTCTAAGTCTCTTTGTAGGTCACTAAGCACTTGCTTTATGAATCTGGGTGCTCCTGTATTGAGTGCATATATATTTAGGATAGTTAGCTCTTCTTGTTGAATTGATCCCTTTGCCATTATGTAATGGCCTTCTTTGTCTCTTTTGATCTTTGGTGGTTTAAAGTCTGTTTTATCAGAGACTAGGATTGCAACCCCTGCCTTTTTTTGTTTTCCATTTGCTTGGTAGATCTTCCTCCATTCTTTTATTTTGAGCCTATGTGTGTCTCTGCACGTGAGATGGGTTTCCTGAATAGAGCACACTGATGGGTCTTGACTCTTTATCCAATTTGCCAGTCTGTGTCTTTTAATTGGAGCATTTAGTCCATTTACATTTAAAGTTAATATTGTTATGTGTGAATTTGATCCTGTCATGATGATGTTAGCTGGTGATTTTGCTCGTTAGTTGATGCAGTTTCTTCCTAGTCTCGATGGTCTTTACATTTTGGCATAATTTTGCAGCGGCTGGTACCGGTTGTTCCTTTCGATGTTTAGTGCTTTCTTCAGGAGCTCTTTTCGGGCAGGCCTGCTGGTGACACAATCTCTCAACATTTGATTGTCTGTAAAGTATTTTATTTTTCCTTCACTTATGAAGCTTAGTTTGGCTGGGTATGAAATTCTGGGTTGAAAATTCTTGTCTTTAAGAATGTTGAATATTGGCCCCCACTCTCTTCTGGCTTGTAGGGTTTCTGCCGAGAGATCCACTGTTAGTCTGATGGGCTTCTCTTTGAGGGTAACCGACCTTTCTCTCTGGCTGCCCTTAACATTTTTTCCTTCATTTCAGCTTTGGTGAATCTGACAATGATGTGTCTTGGAGTTGCTCTTCTCGAGGAGTATCTTTGTGGCGTTCTCTGTATTTCCTGAATCTGAACGTTGGACTGCCTGCAGAGTGTTTTCCAACTTGGTTCCATTCTCCCCATCACTTTCAGGTACACCAATCATACGTAGATTTGGTCTTTTCACATAGTCCCATATTTCTTGGAGGCTTTGCTCATTTCTTTTTATTCTTTTTTCTCTAAACTTCCCTTCTAACTTCATTTCATTCATTTCATCTTCCATCGCTGATACTCTTTCTTCCAGTTGATCGCATCGGCTCCTGAGGCTTCTGCATTCTTCACGTAGTTCTCGAGCCTTGGTTTTCAGCTCCATCAGCTCCTTTAAGCACTTCACTGTATTGGTTATTCTAGTTCTACATTTTTCTAAATTTTTTTCAAAGTTTTCAACTTGTTTGCCTTTGGTTTGAATGTCCTTCCGTAGCTCAGAATAATTTCATCATCTGAAGCCTTCTTCTCTCAGCTCATCAAAGTCATTCTCCATCCAGCTTTGTTCCGTTGCTGGTGAGGAACTGCGTTCCTTTGGAGGAGGAGAGGCACTCTGCTTTTTAGAGTTTCCAGTTTTTCTGCTCTGTTTTTTCCCCATCTTTGTGGTTTTATCTACTTTTGGTCTTTGATGATGGTGATGTACAGATGGGTTTTTGTTGTGGATGTCCTTTCTGTTTGTTAGTTTTCCTTCTAACAGACAGGACCCTCAGCTGCAGGTCTGTTCCAGTTTTGAACATTCTTTTTGTAGAATCTGCAAGTGGACATTTGGAGTGCATTGCAACCTATGGTAGCAAAGGAAATATCTTCACATAAAATCTAGAAAGAAGCAACCTGAGAAACTTCTTTGTGATGTGTGCATTCATATCACAGAGTTAAACATTTCTTTTGATGGAGAAGTTTTGAAACTATCTTTTTGTAGATCTAGCAATTGGACATTTGGAGCACTTTGAGGCCTATGGTGGAAAAGGAAATACCTTCACATAAAAACTAGAGAGAAGAGTTCTGAGAAACTTCCTTGTGATTCATACGTTCATCTCACAGATTTGAACCTTTCTTTTGATGGAGCAGTTTTGAAACTCTCTTTTTGTAGAATGTGCAAGTGGACGTTTGGAGCGCTTTGAAGCCTATGGTGTAAAAGGAAATATCTTCACATAAAAACCAGATAGAAGCTTTCTGAGAAACTTCTTTGTGATATGTGCATTCGTGTCCCTGACTTGAGCATTTCTTTTGAAGGACCAGTTTTCAAATACTGTTTTTGTAGAATCTGCAAGTGGACAATTCGAGTGTCTTGAGGCCTATGGTGGAAAAGAAAATATCTTCACATAAAAACTGGACAGAAGAATTCTGAGAAACCTCTTTGTGATGTGTACATTCGTATCTCAAAGTTTAATCTTTCTTCTGAAGGACCAGTTTTGAAATCCTCTTTTTGAAGAATCCGCTAGCAGACATATTGTACGCCTTGAGGCGTATGCTGGAAAAGGAAATATCTTCACATAAAATCTAGACAGAAGCAATCTGAGAAACTTCCTTGTAATGTGTTCATTTATCTCACAGAGTTAAACCTTTCTTTTGATTGAGCAGTCTTGAAACTCTCTTTTTGTAGAATCTGTAAGTGGACATTTTGTGTGTTTTGAAGCCTATGGTGGAAAAGGAAATATCTTCACATAAAAATCAGATAGAAACATTCTGAGAAACATCTTTGTGATGTGTACATTCATCTCACAGAGTTAAACCTTTCTTTTGATAGAGCAGTTTTGAAACTCTCTTTTGTGGAAACTGCAAGTGGACATTTCGAGCACCTTGAGTCCTATGGTGGAAAATGTAATATCTTCACACAAATATTAGATAGAATAATTCTGAGAAACTTCTTTGTGATGTGTGCATTCACCTCAAAGAGTTGAACCATTCTTTTGATTGAGGAGTTTGGAAACACTCTTTTTGTAGTATCTGCAGGTGGACATTTGGAAAGCTTTTTGGCCTATGATAGAGAAGGAAATATCTTCACATAAAATCTAGACAGAAGAAATCTGAGAAACTTCCTCGTGATGTGTGCATTCATCTCATAGAGTTAAAACTTTCTTTTGATTGAGAAGTTTTGAAACTCTCTTTTTTAAGTCTGCAAGTGGACATTTGGAGCAGTTTGAGGCCTGTGGTGGAAAAGGAAATATCTTCACATAAAAACTAAACAGAAGAATTCTGAGATAGTTTTTGTGATGTGTGTGTTCACCTCACAGAGTTGAACCATTCTTTTGGATGAGCAGTTTGGAAACACTCTTGTAGAATCTGCAAGTGGATATTTGGAGTGCTTTGCGGCCTATGGTAGAAAAGGAAATATCTTCACATAAAATCTAGACAGAAGAAATCTGAGAAACCTCTTCATGATGTGTGCATTCATACCCAGAGTTTAAGCTTTCTTTTGATGGGTCAGTTTTGGAATACTCTTTTTGTTGGATCTGCAAGTGGACATTTTGAACACCTTGAGGCCTATGGTGGAAAATGAAATATCTTCACGTAAAAACTAAACAGAAGAATTCTGAGAAACTTCTTTGTGATGCGTGCATTCACCTCACAGAGTTGAACATTTCTTTTGATTGAGCAGTTTGGAAACACTCTTTTTGTAGAATCTGCAAGTGGACATTCAGAGGGCTTTGTGGCCTATGGTAGAAAAGGAAATATCTTCACATAAAATCTCGACAGAAGCAACCTGAGAAACTTATTTGTGATGTGTGCATTCATCACACAGAGTTAAAACCTTTTTTTAATTGAGCAGTTTTGAAACTCTCTTTTTGTAGAATCTGGACGTAGACAAGTGCAGCATTTTCAGGCCTATGGTGGAAAAGGAAATATCTTCACATAAAAACTAGACAGAAGAAATCTGAGAAACTTCCTTGTGATGTGTCTGTTCATCTCACAGAGTTGAAACTTTCTTTTCATTGAGCAGTTTGGAAACATGCTTTTTGTAGAATCTGCAAGTGGACATTCAGAGGGCTTTGTGGCCTATGGTAGAAAAGGAAATATCTTCACATAAAATCTAGACAGAAGCAATCTGAGAAAATTCTTTCTGATGTGTGCATTCATCTCACAGAGTTAAACCTTTCTTTTGATTGAGCAGTTTTGAAACTCTTTTTGTGGAATCTGCAAGTGGACATTTGGAGTGCTTTTCGGCCTATGATAAAAAAAGAAATATCTTCACATAAAATCTAGACAGAAGCCATCTGAGAAACTTCTTTGTGATGTCTGCATTCATCTCATAGAGTTAAAATTTTCTTTGAATGAGCACTTTTGAAACTCTCTTTTGTAGAATCTGCAAGTGGACATTTGGAGTGCTTTGAGACCTATGATAGGAAAGGATATATCTTCACATAAAATCTAGACAGAAGCAATTTGAGAAACTTCACCATGATGTATGTATTCAAGTCACAGAGTTAAACCTTTCTTTTTAATTGAGCAGTTTTTTTTTTGTTTGTTTGTTTGTTTTTTTAGAATCTGTTAGTGGACGTTTAAGGCGCTTTGAGGCCTATGAAGGAAATGGAAATATCTTCACCTAAAAACTAAACAGATTTCTGAGAAACTTCTTTTTGATGTGTACGTTCATCTCACAGAGTTGAACCTTTCTTTTATTGAGCAGTTTGGAAACACTCTTTTCGCAGAATCTGCAAGAGTATATTTGGAGAGTTTTGAGGCCTATGGAGGAAAAGAAATATCTTCAGATAAAAACTAATTAGAAGCATTCTGAGAAACTCCTTTGTGATGAGTGCATTCATGTCCCAGAGTTCAACATTTCTTTTGATGGGCCAGTATTGAAATAATCTTTTTGTGGAATCTGCAAGTGGACATTTGGAACGCCTTGAGGCCTATGGTGGAAAATGAAATATCTTCACGTAATAACTAGACAGAATAATTCCAGGAAACTTCAATTGTGATGTGTGCATTCATCTCACAGAGCTGAACCTTTCTTTTGATTGAGAAGTTTGGAAACACTCTTTTGGCGAATCTGCAAGTGGAAAATTTGTATGCTTTGCAGTCAATGGTAGAAAAAGAATAATCTTCAATTAAAATCTACACGGAAGCAATCTGAGAAACTTCTTTGTGATATGTGCATTCATCTCACAGAGTTAAACCTTTATTTTGACTGAGCAGTTTTGAACTCTCTTTTTATATAATCTGCAAGTGGACGTTTGAACAGATATGAGGCCTACGGTGGAAAAGGAAATATCTTCACATAAAAACTAGAAAGAAGAATTCTGAGAACCTTCTTTGTGATGCATGCGTTCATCTCACAGATTTGAACCTTTGTTTGGATTGAGTAGTTTGGAAACACTCTTTTTGTAAAATCTGCAAGTGGACATTTGGAGCACTTTGCGGCCTAAGGTAGAAAACAAATATCTTCACATAAAATTTAGACAGAAGCAATCTGAGAAACTTCTTTGTGATGAGTGCATTCATCTCACAGAGTTAAACCTTTCTTTGGATTGAGCAGTTTTGAAATTCTCTTTTTGTAGAATCTGCAAGTGAACATTTGGTGGGCTTTGAGGCCTTTGGTGGAAAAGAAAATATCTTTATATTAAATTTAGACAGAAGAATTCTGAGAAACTGTTTTGTGATGTGTGCGTTCATCTCACAGAGTTGAATCTTTCTTTTGATTGAGCAGTTTGGAAACAATCATTTGTAGGATCTGCAAATGGCCATTTGGAGTGCTTTGTGGCCTGTGGTAGAAAAGGAAATATCTTCACATAAAATCTAGAAGGAAGCAATCTGAGAAACTTCTTTCTGATGTGTGCATTCATGTCACAGAGTTAAAACTTTCTTTATATTGAGCAGTTTTGAACCTCTCTTTTTGTAGAATCTGCAAGTGGATGTTTAGAGCGATTTGATACCTATGGTGGAAAAGAAAATATCTTCACAAAAAAACTAGACAGAAGAATTCTGAAAAACTACTGGTGATGTTTGCGTTCATCTCACAGAGTTCAAAGTTTCTTTTGATGGAGCATTTTGGAAACACTCATTTTCTAGAATCTTCAGGTGGACATTAGGAGGGCTTTGAGGCCTATGGTGAAAAAGGAAATATCTTCACATGAAAACTAGAGAGAAGAATTCTGTGAAAGTTCTTTTGTTGTGGGCGTTCATCTCACCCAGATGAACCTTCTTTTGATTGAGCAGTTTGGAGACTCTCCTTCTTTAGAATCTGTAAGTGGATATTTGGAGACCTTTGTGGCCTATGGCAGAAAAGGAAATATCTTCATATAAATCTCTGCCGCAGCAACCTGAGAAACTTCTTTGTGATGTGTGCATTCATCTGACAGAGTTGAACCTTTCTTTTGATTGAGCAGTTTTGCAACTCTCTTTTTGTAGAATCTGCAAGTGGACATTTTGAGGGCTTTGAGGACTAAGGTGGAAAAGGAAATATCTTCACATAAAAACTAGACAGAAGAACTATGAAAAACTTCTTTGTGATATGTGCGTTCATCTCACAGAGTTGAAACTTTCTTTTGATTCAGCAGTTTGGAAACACTCTTTTCGTAGAATCTGCCAGTGGACATTTGGAGTGCTTGGCGGCCTATAGTAGAAAGGGAAATATCTTCATCTTAAGTCTAGACAGAAGCAATCTGAGAAACTTCTTTGTGAAGTGTGCATTCATCTCCAAGAGCTGAACCTTCCTTTTGATGTATCAGTTTTGAAATACTCTTTTTGTAGAATCTGCAAGTGGACATTTGGAACGCCTTGGGGCCAATGGTAGAAAAGGGTATATCTTCATTTAAAATCTAGACAGAAGCAATCTGAGAAACTTCTTTGTGATGTAGGCATTCATCTGACAGAGTTAAACCTTTCTTTTGATTGAGCAGTTTGGAAACTCTCTTTTTGTAGAACCTGCAAATGGACATTTGGAGAACTTTGAGTCCTATGATGGAAAAAGAAATATTCTCACATAAAAACTAGACAGAATAATTCTGAGAAACTTCTTTTTGATGCGTGTGTTCATCTCAAAGAGTTGAGCCTTTCTTTTGATTGAGGAGTTTGGAAACACTTTATCTTGTAGAATCTGCAAGTGGACATTTGGAGCGTTTTGCAGCCTATGGTAGAAAAGGAAATATCTACACATAAAATCTAGACAGAAGCTATCTGAAAATCTTCTTTGTGATGCGTGCATTCATATTCCAGAGTAAAGCCTTTCTTTTGATTCAGCAGTTTTGAAACTCTCTTTTTGTGTAATCTGGAAGTGGACATTTGGAGGGCTTTGAGGCCGATGGTGGAAAAGGAAATATCTTCAAAAATAAACTAGACATAAGCATTCTGAATAACTTCTTCATGATGTGTGCATTCATCTCCCAGAGTTGAAGCTTTCTTTTAATGGACCAGTTTTGAAATACTCTTTTTGTAGAATCTGCAAGTGGACATTTCGAGCACCCTGAGGCCTATAGAGGGAAAAGAAATACTTTCAGATAAAAATGAGACAGAAGAATTCTGAGAAACTTCTTTGTGATTTGTGCGTTCATATCACACAGGTGAAACTTTCTTTTGATTGAGCAGTTTGGAAACACTCTTTTTGTAGAATCTGCCAATGGACATTTGGTGTGCTTTGAGGCTTATGGTAGAAAAGGAAATCTCTTCACAGAAAATCCAGACAGAAGCAATCTGAGAAACTTCTTTGTGATGTGTGCATTCATCTCACAGAGTGAAACCTTACTTTTGATGGAGTAGTTTTGAAATTCTCTTTTTGTAGAATCTGCAAATTGACATTGGGAGTGCTTTGAGGCCTACAGTGGAAAAGGAAATATGTTCACATAAAAACTAGACAGAAGCATTCTGAGAAACTTCTTTGTGATGTGTGCATTCATCTCAAAGAGTTGAAACTTTCTTTTGATGGACCAGGTTTGAAATACTCCTTTTGTAGAATCTGCCAGGGGGCATTTCGAGCACCTTGAGGCCTAAGGTGAAAGTGAAATATCTTCATATAAAATCTTGACAGAAGCAATCTTAGAAACTTCTCTGTGATGTGTGCATTCATCTCACTAAGTGAAACCTTTCTTTTGATTGAGCAGTTTTGAAACTCTCTTTTTGTTGAATCTGCAGTTGGACACTTGGAGCGCTTTGAGGCCTAAGGTGGAAAAGGAAATATCTTCACATAAAAACTAGACAGAAGAATTCTGAGAAACTTCTTTGTAATGTGTGCGTTCATTTCACAGAGTTGAACCTTTCTTTTGATTGAGCAGTTTTGAAACACTCTTATTGTAGAATCTGCATGTGGACATTTGGAGCACTTTGTGGCCTATGGTAGAAAAGGAAATATCTTCACATAAAATCTAGACAGAAGCAATCTGAGAAAATTCTTTGTGATGTGTGCATTCACCTTACAGAGTAAAACCTTTCTTTTGATTGAGCACTTTTAAAACTCTCTTTTTGTAGGATCTGCAAGTGGACATTTGTAGCACCTTGAGGCCTATGATGGAAAAGGAAATATCTTCACTTAAAAAATAAACAGAAGAATTCTGAGAAACTTCTTTTTTATATGTGTGTTCATCTCACAGAGTTGAACCTTTGATTGAGCAGTTTGGAAACTCTCTTTTTGTAGAATCTGCAAGTGGACATTTGGAGTGTTTTGTAGCCTATGGTAGAAAGGGAAATATCTTTACATACAATCTAGACAGAAGTAATCTGAGAATCTTCTCTGTGATGTGTGCATTCATCTCACAGAGTTAAGCCTTTATTATGATTGAGCACTTTTGAAACTCTCTTTTTGTAGAATCTGCAATTGGACATTTGGAAGGCTTTGGGGCCTATGGTGGAAAAGGAAATATCTTCACATAAAAACAAGATAGAAGCGTTCTGAGAAACTTCTTTGTGATGTGTGCATCCATCTCCCAGAGTTGAACCTTTCTTTGGATGGACCAGTTTTGAAATACTGTTTTTGTAGGATCTGCAAGTGGACATTTTGAGCGCCTTGAGGCCTACGGTGGAAAAGGAAATATCTTCACATAGAAACTAGACAGAAGCATTCTGAGAAACCTCTTTGTGATGTGTGCATTCATCTCAAGGAGGTGAAACTTTCTTTTGATGGACCAGGTTCGAAATTCTCCTTTTGTAGAATCTGCCAGGGGGCATTTTGAGTGCCTTGAGGCCTATGGTGGAAAATGAAATATCTTCATATAAAAACTAGACAGAAGCATTCTGAGAAAGTTCTTTGTGATGTGTGCATTCATCTCACAGAGTTGAATCTTTCTTTTGATTGAGAAGTTTGGAAACACTGTTTTTGTAGAATCTGCAAGGGGCAGTTGGAACGCTTATTGTTCTATGGTGGAAAAGGAAATAACTTCATATAAAATCTAGACAGAAGCAATCTGAGAAACTTTTTGTGATGTGTGCTTTCATCTCACAGACTTAAACCTTCCTTTTGATTGAGCAGCTTTAGAAATCTCTTTTTGCAGAATCTGCAAGTGGACATTTGGAATGCTTTTAGGCCTATGGAAGAAAAGGAATTATCTTCACATAAAAACTAGCCAGAAGAATTCTGAGAGAATTCTTTGTGATGTGTGCATTCATCTGGCAGAGTTGAACCTTTCTTTTGATTGAGCAGTTTGGAAACACTCTTTTTGTAGAACCTGCAAGTGGACATTTGGAGCACTTTGCGGCCTATGGTAGAAAAGGAAATATCTTCACAAAAAATCTAGACAGAACCATTCTGAGAAACGAGTTTTTCTTGTGTGCATTCATCTCACAGAGTTAACCATTTCTTTTGATTGAGCATTTTTGAAACTCTATTTTTGTAGAATCTGCAAGTGGACATTTGGAGCACTTTGAGGCCTATGGTGTAAAAGGAAATATCTTCACATAAAAACTAGATAGAAGCATTCAGAGAAACTTCTTTGTGATGTGTGCAATCATTTCCCAGAGTTAAACCTTTTTTTCTGATGGACCAATTATGAAATAGTCTTTTTGTAGAATTTGCAGTTGGACATTTCGAGCACCTTGAGGACTATGGTGGAAAATGAAATATCTTCACATAAAAACTAGACACAAGTATTCTGAGCAACTTCTATGTGATGTGTGCATTCATCTCACAGAGTTGGACCTTTCTTTTGATTGAGAAGTTTGTAAACCCTCTATTTGGAGAATCTGCAAGTGTACATTTGGAGTGCTTTGCCACCTATGGTAGAAAAGGAACTATCTTCACATAAAATCTAGACATAAGCAATCAGAGAAACTACTTTGTGTTTTGTGCATGCCCCTGAGAGAGTTAAACCTTTCTTTTGATTGAGGAGTTTTGAAACTCTCTTTTTGTAGAATCCGCAAGTCGATATTTGGAGGGCATTAAGGCCTCTGGTGGAAAAGGAAATATCTTCACATAAAAACTAAACAGAAGAATTCTGAGAAACTTCTTTGTGATGCGTGCATTCATCTTACAGAGGTGAACCTCTTTTTTGATTGAGCTGTTTGGAAACATTCTTTTTGTGGAATCTACAAGTGGATATTTGGAACGCTTTGGGGCCTGTGGTAGAAAAGGAAATATCTTCACATAAAATCTAGACAGAATCAACCTGACAAACGTCCTTGTGACGTGTGCTTTTGTCTAAGAGAGTTAAACCTTTCTTTTGATTGAGGAGTTTTGAAACTCTCCTTTTGTAAAATCTGCAAGTGGATATTTGGAGTGCTTTGAGGCCTATGGTGGAAAAGGAAATATCTTCACATAAAAACTAGACAGAAGAGTTCTGAGAAACTTCTTTGTGATGTGTGCGTTCATCTCACAGTGTTCAAAGTTTCTTTTCATGGAGCAATTTGGAAACACTCTTTTTGTAGAATCTTCAAGTGGACATTTGGAGGGCTTTGAGGCCTCTGGTGGAAAAGCAAATATCTTCACATGAAAACTGGAGAGAAGAATTCTGTGAAACTTTTTTCTGATACATGCGTCCATCTCACACAGATGAACCTTCCTTTTGATTGGGCAGTTTGGAGACACTCTTTCTGTAGAATCTGCAAGTGGACGTTTGGAGCCCTTTGTGACCAATGGTAGAAAAGGAAGTATCTTCATATAAATCTCTGCCGAAACAACCAGATAAACTTCTTTGTGATGTGTACATTCATCTCACAGAGTTGAACCTTTCTTTTGATTGAGCAGTTTTGAAACACTCTTTTTGTAGAATGTGCAAGTGGATATTTGGAGCTCTTTGTGGCCTATGGCAGAAAAGGAAATATCTTCACATAAAAATTACAAAGAAGCATTCTGATAGACATGTTTGTGTTGAGTGCATTCAGCTCACAGAATTGAACCTATGTTTTGATTGAGCAGGTTTGAAACACTCTTTGTAGAATCTGCAAGTGGATATTTGGATCGATTTGACGCCTATTGTGGAAAAGGAAATATCTTCACATAAAACCTACACAGCAGCATTCTGAGAAACTTCTTTGTTTTGTGTGCATTCAACTCATGGAGTCAAACCTATCTTTTGATTGAGCAGTTTTGAATCTCTCTTTTTGCATAATCTGTGAGTGGATATTTGGAGAGATTTGAGGCCTATTGTGGAAAAGGAAATATCTTCACAGCGAAACTACACAGAAGCATTCTGAGAAACTTCATGGTGATGTGTGCGTTCATCTCACAGAGATGAATCTTTCTTTTCATTTAGCAGTTTTGAAACACTGTATAATCTGCAAGCGGATAGTTGGAGTGCTTTGAGGCCTATTGTTGAAAAGAAAATATCTTCAAATGAAATCTACACAGAAGCATTCTGAGAAACCTCTTTGTGATGTGTGCATTCATCTCACAGAGTTGAACCTTTCTTTTGATTGAGCAGTTTTGAAAAACTCTTTATGTAGAATCTGCAAGTTGATATTTGGAGCGCTTAGATTCCTATTGTGGAAAAGGAAATATCTTTACATAAAAACTGCATAGAATCATTCTGAGAAACTTCTGTGGGATGTGTGCATTCATCTCACAATGTTGAACCTTTCTTTTCATTCAGCAGTTTTGAATCTTTCTGTTTGTAGAATCTGCAAGTGGATATATGGAGAGCTTTGAGGCCTATGGTGGAAATGGAAATATCTTCACATAAAAACTACACAGAAGTATTCTGAGAAACACCTTTGTTAAGGTTAAGTGTGCATTAAACTCACAGAGTTGAAACTTTCTTTTGATTGAGCAGTTTTGAATCTCTCTTTTGGTAGAATCTACAAGAGGATATTTGGAGCCATTTTCAGCCTATGGTGGAAAAGGAAATACCTTCACATGAAAACTACAAAAAAGATTTCTGAGGAACTTCTATGTCATGTGTGCCTTCATCTCACAGAGTTGAACCTTTCTTTTGATTTAGCAGTTTGGAAACACTCTTTTTGTTGTATCTACAAGTGACTGTTTGGACCACTTTGAAGCCTATGGTGGAAAAGGAAATATCTTTAAATAAAAACTACACAGAAGCATTCTGAGAAACTTCTTTGTGATGTGTGCTTTCATCTCACATTATTGAACCTATCTTATGATTGGGCAGTTTTGAAACACTCTTTTTATAGAATCTGCAAGTGTATATTTGGAGCCGATGTGGCCTATTGTGAAAAAGGAAATATCTTCACATAAAAACTACACAGAAGCATTCTGAGAAACCACTTTGTGATATGTGCATTAAACTCACAGAGTTGAATCTATCTTTTCATTGAGCAGTTTTGATTCCCTCTTTTTGTAGGATTTGCAAGTGGTCATATGGAGCCCTTTGCGGCCTATGGAGGAAAAGGAAATATCTTCAAATAAAAACTACCCAGAAGCATTCTGAGGAACTTCTTTGCTATGTGTGCATTCAACTCACAGAGTTGAAACTATCTTATGATTCAGCAGTTTTGAAGCACTGTTTTTGTAGAGTCTTCAAGTGGATATTTGGAGCACTTTGAGGCCTACTGTGGAAAAGCAAATATCTTCACATAAAAACTGCACAGAAGCATTCTGAGAAACTTCTTTGTGATGTGTGCATTCAACTCACAGAATCGAACCTATATTTTGATGGAGCAGTTTTTAATCTCTCTTTTTGCAGAATCTGCAAGTGGATATTTGGAGGCCTTTGAAGCCTAGTGTGGAAAAGGAAATATCTTCACATAACAACTACACAGAAGCATTCTGAGAAACTTTTTGTGATGTGTGTATTCAACTCACAGAGTTGAACCTATGTTTTGATTGAACAGTTTTGAATCGCTCTTTTTGTAGAATCTGAGAGTGAATATTTGCAGTGCTTTTAGGTCTATTGTGGAAAAGGAAATATTTTCACATAAAAACTACACAGAAGCTTTCTGAGAAATTTCTTTGTTATGAGTGCATTCATCACACATAGTTGAACCTTTCTTTTTGATTGAACAGTTTTGTAACACTCTTTATGTAGAAACTGCAAGTGGATATTTGGAGGGCTTTGAGGTCTATTTTGGAAAAGGCAATATCTTCATATCAAAACTACACAGAAGCATTCTGAGAAACTTCTTTGTGATGTGTACATTCAACTCACAGTGTTGAAACTATCTTTTGATAGAGCAGTTTTGAAACACTCTTTTTGTAGAATCTGCAAGTGTATATTTGGAAAGCTTTGAGGCCTACTGTGGAAAAGGAAATATCTTCATGTAAAAACTACACTTAGGCAGTCTGAGAAACTTCTTTATGATGTGTGCATTCATCATACAGATTTTAACTTCTTTTGATTGAGCAGATTTGAAACACTCTTTTTGTAGAATCGGCAGGTGGATATTTGGAGGGTTTTGAGGCCTATTTTGGAAAAGGAAATATCTTCACATAAAAACTACACAGAAGCATTCTGAGAAACATCTTTGTGATGTGTACATTCAACTCACAGAGTTGAACCAATGTCTTAGTGGAGCAGTTTTGAATCTTTTTGTGGAATCTTCAACCGGATATTTGGAGCCCTTATCAGCCTATGGTGGAAAAGGAAATATCTTTAAATAAACTCTACACGGAGGAATTGTGAGAAATTTCTTTGTGATGTGTGAACTCATCTCACAGAGTTGAAATTTCCTTTTGATTGAGCAGTTTTGAAATGCTGTTTTCATAGAATCTGCAAGTGGATATTTGGAGCGCTTTGAGGCCTATTGTGGAAAGGGAAATATCTTCACATAAAAACTACACAGAAGCATTCTGAAAAACTACTTTGTGATGTGTGCATTCATCTCACAGTGTTGAAATTTTCTTTTGATTGAGCAATTCTGAAATGCTGTTTTCATAGAATCTGCAAGTGGATATTCAGAGCGCTTTGAAGCCTACTGTGGAAGAACAAATATCTTCACATAAGAACTGCACTGAGGCATTCTGAGAAACTTCTTCATGATGTGTGCATTCAACTCACATAGTTGAACCTATCTTTTGATTGGGCAGTATTGGATCTCTCTTCGTAGAATCTGCAATTGGATATTTGGTGCCCTTTGTGGCCTATGAATGAAAAGGAAATACCTTAAAAGAAAAGGTACACAGAAGCATTCAGAGAAACTTCTTCATGATGTGTGCATTCATCTCACAGAGGTGAACCTTTCATTTGATTGAGCAGTTTTGAAACACTCTCTTTGTAGAATCTGTAAGTGGATACTTGGAGCCTTTTGAGGCCTACTGTGGAAAAGGAAATATCTTCACATAAAAACTACACAGAAGATTTCTGGGAAACTTCCCTGGGATATGTGCATTCCTCTCACAGAGTTGAACATTTCTTTTGATTGAGCAGTTTGGAAACACTCTTTTTGAACCGTCTGCAAGTGGATATTTGGAGTAATTGAGGCCTACTCTGAAGAAGAAAATATCTTCACATAAAATCAACACAGAGGCATTCTGAGAAACTTCTATGAGATGTGTGCCTTCATCTCACAGAGTTGAACATTTCTTTTGATTGAGCAGTTTTGAAACAATCTTTTTGTAGGATCTGCAAGCAGATATTTGGAGCCCTTTGTGGCCTAAAGTGGAAAAGGAAATATCTTCAAATAAAAACTACACAGAAGCATTCTGAGGAACTTCTTTGTTATGTGTGCATTCAACTCACAGAGTTGAAATTATCTTATGATTCAGCAGTTTTGAAACACTGTTTTTGTAGAATCTTCAAATGGATATTTGGAGCGTTTTGAGGCCTACTGTGGAAAAGCAAATATCTTCACATAAAAACTTCACAGAAGAATTCTGGGAAACTTCTTTGTGATGTCTGCATTCATCTCACACAGCTGAACCTGTCTTATGATAGAGCAGTATTGAAACAATCTTTTTGTAGAATCCACAAGTGGATATTTGGAGTGTTTTGAGACCTATTTTGGAAAACAAAATATCTTAACATAAAAACTACACAAAAGTACCCTGATAAACTTATTTGTGATGTGTGCATTTATCTCAGAGATTTGAAACTATCTTATGATTTAGCAGTTATGAAACACTCTATTTGTAGAATCTGCAAGTGGATATTTGGGGCCTTTTGAGGACTATTGTGGAAAAGGAAATATCTTCACATAAAAACAACACAGAAGCATTCTGAGAAACTTCTTTGTGATGGGTGCATTCATCTCACAGGGTTGAACCTATTTTATAATTCAGCAGTTTTGAAATACTCTATTTGTAGAATATGCAAGTGGATATTTGGAGCGCTTTGAGGCCAACAGTTGAACAGCAAATATATTTACATAAAAACTACACAGAAGCATTCTGAGAAACTTCTTTGTGATGTGTTCATTCATCTTACAGAGTTGAACCTTTCTTTTGATTGAGCAGTTTTGAAACACTCTTTGTGTAGAATCTGCATTTGGATATTTGGAGAACTTTGATGCATATTGTGGAAAAGGAAATATCTTCAAATAAAAACTACACAGTAGCATTCTGATAAACTTCTTTGTGAATTGTGAATTCCTCTCACAGAGTTTAACCTATGTTTTGTTTGAGCAGTTTTTAATCTCTTTTTGTAGAATCTGAAAGTGGATATACAGAGTGCTTTGAGGCCTATTGTGGAAAAGGAAATATCTTCACATAAAAATTTCACAGAAGTATTCTGAGAAACTACTGTCTGATGAGTGTATTCATCACACAGGATGAACGTGTCTTTTGATTGAGCAGTATTGAAACACTGTTTTTGTATATTCTGCAAGTGGATATTTGGAACGCTTTGAGGCCTATTGTGGAAAAGAAAATATCTTCACTTAAAGACCACACAGAAGCATTCTGAGAAACTTCTTTGTGATGTGTACATTCAACTCACCGATGTGAATCTATCTTTTGATTAGCAGTTTTGAAACTCTCTTTTTGTAGTATCTGCAGTTGTATATTTGGAGCCCTTTGAGACCTATGATGGAAAAAGAAATGCCTTCATATGAAAACTACACAGAAGTATTCTGAGAAACTCCTTTGTGATGTGTGCATTCAACTCACAGATTTGAACCTATCATTTGATTGAGCCATTTTGAAACTGTCTTTTTCTATTATCTGCAAGTGAATATTTCTAGCCTTTTGTGGCCTATTTTGGAAAAGGACATGCCTTCACATAAAAAACAAACAGAAGTATTCTGAGAAACTTCTTTGTGATGTGAGCATTCATCTCACAGAGATGAACCTTTCTTTTGATTGAGCAGTTTTGAAAGAATCTTTTTGAAGTATCTGCAAGTGAATATTTGGAGCACTTTGAGGCCTAATGTGTGGAAGAAATATCTTCACATAAAAACTACATAGAAGCTTTCTGAGAAACTTCTCTGTGATGTGTGCATTCAACTCATGGAGTTGAACCTATTTTTTCATTGAACAGTTTTGAAACTCTTTTTGTAGAATCTGCAAGTGGATATTTGGAGCCATTTGTGGCCTATGGTGGAAATGGGAATATCTTCAACTAAAAACTACACAGAAGCATTCTGAGAAACTTCGTGGTGATGTGTGCATTCATCTCACAGAGATGAATCTTTCTTTTTCATTTAGCAGTTTTTAAACACTCTGTTTGTAGAATCTGCAAGTGGATAATTGGAGCACTTTGAGGCAAATAGTTGAAAAGAAAATATCTTCACATGAAATCTACACAGAAGCATTCCGAGAAACCTCTTCGTGAAGTGTGCTTTCATCTCACAGAGTTGAACCTTTCTTTTGATTGAGCAGTTTTGAAAAACTCTTTTTGTAGAATCTGCAAGTTGATATTTGGAGCGCTTAGGTTCCTATTGTGGAAAAGGAAATATCTTCACATAAAAGCTGCACAGAATCATTCTAAGAAAGTTCTGTGTGATGTGTGCATTCATCTCACAGTGTTGAACTTTTCTTTTCATTCAGCAGTTTTGAAACTTTCTTTTTGTAGAATCTGCAGGTGGATATTTGGAGCTCTTTGAGTCCTATGGTGGAAATGGAAATATCTTCACATAAAAACTACACAGAAGCATTATGAGAAACATCTTTGTTAACACAGAAGCATTCTGAGAAACATATTTGTTAAGTGTGCATTAAACTAACAGAGTTGAAACTATCTTTCGATTGAGCAGTTTTGAATCTCACTTTTTGTAGAATCTGCAAGAGGATATTTGGAGCCCTTTGCGGCCTACAGTGGAAAAGGACATACCTTCACATAAAAACTACAAAAAAGATTTCTGAGGACATTCTTTGTCATGTGTGCCTTCATCTCACGGAGTTGAACCTTTCTTTTGATTGAGCAGTTTGGAAACACTTTTTTTGTAGTATCTAAAGTGGATGATTGGATCGCTTTGAGGCCTATGGTGGAAAAGGAAATATCTTCACATGAGAACTACACAGAAGCATTCTGAGAAACTTCTCTGCAATGTGTGCATTCAACTCACAAGTTTGAACCTATCTTTTGATTCAGCAATTTTGAAACTCTCTTTTTGTAGAATCCGCAAGTGGATATTTGGAACTATTTGCTACCTATTGTGGAAAAGGAGATATCTTCACATAAAAACTACAGAGAAGCATTCTGAGAAACTTCTTTGTGATTTGTGCATTCATCTCACAGAGTTGAACCTTTCTTTTGATTAAGCAGTTATGAAACAGTCTTTTTAAAGGATCAGCAAGTGGATATTTGGAGGACTTTTAGGCCTATTGTGTAAAAGGAGATATCTTCACATAAAAACTAAGCAGAACCATTCTGAGAAACTACTTTGCAATGTGTGCATTCATCTCACAGAGTTGAAACTTTCTTTTGATTGAGCAGTTTGGAAACACTCACTTTGTAGAATCTGCAAGTGGATATTTGGAGCGCTTTGTGGCCTATGGTGGAAATGGGTATACCTTCACATAAAAACTATGTGGAAGTATTCAGAGAAACTTCTTTGTGATGTGTGCATACAACTCACAGAGTTGAAACTTTCGTTTGGTTGAGCAGTTTTGAAACTCTCTTTTTGTAGAATCTGCAAGTGGATATTTGGAGCCCTTTGTGGCCTATGGTGGAAAGGGAAATATTTTCACATAAAAACTACACAGAAGCCAACTGGCAAATGAGGTGGCAGTCAAGATGGCCAAATAGGAACAGCTCTGTTCTACAGCTCCCAGCATGAGTGACACAGAAGATGAATGATTTCCTCATTTCCATCTGAGATACCTGGTTCATCCCACTAGGGAGTGCCAGACAGTTGGCGCAGGATAGTGGGTGCAGCGCACCATGTGTGGGCAGAAGCAGAGTGAGGCATTTCCTCACTTGGGAAGTGCAAGTGGTTAGGGAGTTCCCTTTCCTAGTCAAATAAAGGGGCGACAGACGGCACCTGGGAAATCCAGTCACTCCCACACTAATACTGTACTTTTTCAATGGGCTTAAAAAATGGCGCACCAGGAGATTATATCCCACACCTTGCTTGGAGGGTCCTATGTCCACGGTGTCTCACTGATTGCTAGCACAGCAGTCTGTGATCAAACTAAAAGGTGGCAGTGAAGCTGGGGGTGGGGCACCCCCCATTGCCCAGGCTTGCTTAGGTAAACAAAGCTGCTGGAAAGCTCGAAGTAGGTGTAGCCCACCACAGCTCTAGGAGACCTGCCTTCCTCTGTAGGCTCCACCTCTGGGGGCAGGGCACAGACAAACAAAAAGACAGCAGTAACCTCTGCAGACTTAAATGTCCCTGTCTGACAGCTTTGAAGAGAGCAGTGGTTCTCCCAGCACACAGCTGGAGATCTGAGAATGGGCAGACTGCCTCCTCAAGTGGGTACCTGACCCCTGGACCCCGAGCAGCCTAACTGGGAGACACCCCTCAGTAGGGGCAGACTGACACCTCACATGGCCGGGTAGTCCTCTGAGACAAAATTTCCAGAGCAAAGATCAGACAGCAGCATTCGTGGTTCATGAAAATCCGCTGTTCTGCAGTCACAGCTGCTGATATCCAGGCAAACAGGATCTGGAGTGGACCTCCAGCAAACTCCAACAGACCTGCAGCTGAGGGTCCTGTCTTTTAGAAGGAAAACTAACAAACAGAAAGGACATCCACACCAAAAACCCATCTGTATATCACCACCATAAAAGACCAAAAGTAGATAAAACCACAATGATGGGGAAAAAACAGAGCAGAAAAACTAGAAACTCTAAAAACAGAGTGCCTCTCCTCCTCCAAAGGAATGCAGTTCCTCATAAGAAATGGAACAAAGCTGGACGGAGAATGACTTTGACGAGTTGAGAGAAGAAGGCTTCAGACAATCAAATTACTCGGAGCTACAGGAGGAAATTCAAACCAAAGGCAAAGAAGTTAAAAACATTGAAAAAATTTAGACGAATGTATAACTAGAATAACCAACACAGAGAAGTGCTTAAAGGAGCTGATGGAGCTGAAAGCCAAGGCTCCAGAACTACATGAAAAATGCAGAAGCCTCAGGAGCAGATACGATCAACTGGAAGAAAAGGTATCAGTGATGGAAGTTGAAATAAATGAAATAAAGTGAGAAGGGAAGTTTAGAGAAAAAAGAATAAAAAGAAATGAACAAAGACTGCAAGAAATATGGGACTATGTGAAAAGACCAAATCTACGTCTGATTGGTGTACCTGAAAGTGATGTGGAGAATGGAACCAAGTTGGAAAACACTCTGCAGGATATTATCCAGGAGAACTTCCCCAATCTATCAAGGCAGGCCAACATTCAGATTCAGAAAATACAGAGAATGCCACAAAGGTACTCCTCGAGAAGAGCAACTCCAAGACAAATAATTGTCAGATTCACCAAAGTTGAAATAAAGGAAAAAATGTTAAGGGCAGCCAGAGAGAAAGGTGGTGTTACCCTCAAAGGGAAGCCCATCAGACTAACAGCAGATCTCTTGGCAGAAACTCTACAAGCCAGATGAGAGTGTGGGCCAATATTCAACATTTTTAAAGAAAAGAATTTTCAACCCAGAATTTCATATCCAGCCAAACTAAGCTTCATAAGTGAAGGAGAAATAAAATACTTTACAGACAATCAAATGCTGAGAGATTGTGTCACCACCAGGCCTGCCCTAAAAGAGCTCCTGAAGGAAGAACTAAACATGGAAAGAAACAACCAGTACCAGCCAGTGCAAAATCATGCCAAATTGTAAAGTCCACTGTGGCTAGTAAGAAACTGCATCAACTAACGAGCAAAATAACCAAAAAACATCATAACGACAGGATCAAATTCACACATAACAATATTAACTCTAAATGTAAATGGACTAAATGCTCCAATTAAACACACAGACTGGCAATTTGGATAAAGAGTCAAGACCCATCAGTGTGCTGTATTCAGGAAACCCATCTCACATGCAGAAACAAACATAGGCTCAAAATGAAAGGATGGTGGAAGATCTACCAAGTAAATGGAAAACAAAAAAAGGCAGGGGTTGCAATCCTAGTCTCTGATAAAACAGACTTTAAATCAACAAAGATCAAAAGAGACAAAGAAGGCCATTACATAATAGTAAAGGGATCAATTCAACAAGAAGAGCTAGCTATCCTAAATATATATGCACTCAACACAGGAGCACCCAGATTCTTAAAGCAAGTCCTGAGTGATGTACAAAGAGACTTAGACTCCCACACAATAATAATTGGATAATTTAACACCCCACTGTCAATATTAGACAGATCAACGAGACAAAAAGTTAACAAGGATACCCAGGAATTGAACTCAGCCCTGCACCAAGCGGACCTAATAGACATCTACAGAACTCTCCACCCCAAATCGAAAGAATATACATTTTTTTCAGCACCTCACCACACCTATTCCAAAATTGACCACATAGTTGGAACTAAAGCTATCCTCAGCAAATGTAAAAGAACAGAAATTATAACAAACTGTCTCTCAGACCACAGTGCAATCAAACTGGAACTCAGGATTAAGAAACTCACTCAAAACCGCTCAACTACATGGAAACTGAACAACCTACTCCTGAATGACTACTGGGTACATAACAAAATGAAGGCAGAAATAAAGATGTTCTTTGAAACCAATGAGAACAAAGACACAACATACCAGAATCTCCGGGACACATTCAAAGCAGTGTGTAGAAGGAAATTTATAGCACTAAATGCCCACAAGAGAAAGCAGGAAAGATCCAAAATTGACACCCTAACATCACAATTAAAAGCACCAGAAAAGCAAGAGCAAACACATTCAAAAGCTAGCAGAATGCAAGAAATAACTAAAATCAGAGCAGAACTGAAGGAAATAGAGACACAAAAAACCCTTCAAAAAATTAGTGAATCCAGGAGCTTGTTTTTTGAAAAGATCAACAAAATTGATAGACCACTAGCAAGACTAATAAAGAAGAAAAGAAAGAAGAATCAAATAGACGCAATAACAAATGATAAAGTGAGTATCACCATTGATCCCACAAAAATACGAACTACCATCAGAGAATACTACATACACCTCTACACAAACAAACTACAAAATCTAGAAGGAATGGATAAATTCCTAGACACATACACCCTCCCAAGACTAAACCAGGAAGAAGTTGACTCTCTGAATAGACCAATAAGAGGCTCTGAAATTGTGGCAATAATCAATAGCTTACCAACAAAAAGAGTCCAGGACCAGAAGGATTTACAGCCAAATTCTACCAGATGTACAAGGGGGAACTGGTACCTTTCCTTCTGAAATTATTCCAATCAATGGAAAAAGAGGGAATCCTCCCAAACTCATTTTATGAGGCCAGCATCATCCTGATACCAAAGCCGGGCAGAGACACAACAAAAAAACAAAATTTTAGACCAATATCCTTGATGAACATTCATGCAAAAATCCTCAATAAAATACTGGCAAACCGATTCCAGAAGCACATCAAAAAGCTTATCCAATATGATCAAGTGGGCTTCATCCCTAGGATGCAAGGCTGGTTCAATATATGCAAATCAATAAATGTAATCCAGCATATAAACAGAACCAAAGACAAAAACCACATGATTATCTCAATAGATGCAGAAAAGGCCTTTGACAAAATTCAACATCCCTTCATGCTAAAAACTCTCAATAAATTAGGTATTGATGGGACGTATCTCAAAATAATAAGAGCTAGCTATGACAAACCCACAGCCAATATCATACTGAATGGCCAAAAACTGGAAGCATTCCCTTTGAAAACTGGCACAAGACAGAGACGCCCTCTCTCACCAGTCCTATTCAACATAGTGTTGGGAATTCTGGCCAGGGCCATTAAGCAGGAGAAGGAAATAAAGGGTATTCAATTAGGAAAAGAGGAAGTCAAATTGTGCTCGTTTGCAGATGACATGATTGTATATCTAGAAAACCCCATTGTCTCAGCCCAAAATCTCCTTAAGCTGATGAGCAACTTCAGCAAAGTCTCAGGATACAAAATCAATGTGCAAAAATCACAAGCATTCTTATACACCAATAACAGACAAACAGAGCCAAATCAAGAGTGAACTCCCGTTTGCAATTGCTTCAAAGAGAATAAAATGTGTAGGAATCCAACTTACAAGGGATGTGAAGGACCTCTTCAAGGAGAACTACAAACCACTGCTCAATGAAATAAAAGAGGATATAAATATATGGAAGAACATTCCATGCTCATGGGTAGGAAGAATCAATATCGTGAAAATGGCCATACTGCCGAAGGTAATTTATAGATTCAATGCCATCCCCATCAAGCTACCAATGACCTTCTTCACAGAATTGGAAAAAAACTACTTTAAAGTTCATATGGAACCAAAAAAGAGCCCGCATCAACAAGTCAATCTTAAGCCACAAGAACAAAGCTGGAGGCATCAGGCTACCTGACTTCGAACTATACTACAAGGCTACAGTAACCAAGACAGCATGGTACTGGTACCAAAACAGAGATATAGATCAATGGAACAGAACAGAGCCCTCAGAAATAACACTGCATATCTACAACTATCTGATCTTTGATAAACCTGAACAAAACAAGCAATGGGGAAAGGATTCCCTATTTAATAAGTGGTGCTGGGAAAACTGGCTAGCCATATGTCGAAAGCTGAAACTGGATCCCTTCCTTACACCTTATACAAAAATTAATTCAAGATGGTTTAAAAAGTTAAATGTTAGACCTAGAACCATAAAAATCCTAGAAGAAAACCCAGGCATTACCATACAGGACGTAGGCGTGGGCAAGGACTTCATGTCTAAAACACCAAAAACAATGGCAACAAAAGCTATAATTGTCAAATGGGATCTAATTAAACTAAAGAGCTTCTGCACAGCAAAAGAAACTACCAGCAGAGTGAACAGGCAATGTACAAAATGGGAGATAGTTTTCACAACCTACTTATCTGACAAAGGGCTAATATACAGAATCTACAATGAACTCAAACAAATTTACAAGAAAAAAAACAAACAACCCCATCAAAAAGTGGGTGAAGGACATGAACAGACACTTCCCAAAGAAGACATTTATGCAGCCAAAAACACATGAAAAAATGCTTATCCTTAACTGGCCATCAGAGAAATGCAAATGAAAACCACAATGAGATACCACCTCACACCATTTAGAATGGCAATCATTAAAAAGTCAGGAAACAACAGGTGTTGGAGAGGATGTGGAGAAATAGAAACACTTTTACACTTTTGGTGGGGCTGTAAACTAATTCAGCCATTGTGGAAGTCAGTGTGGCGATTCCTCAGGGATGTAGATCTAGAAATACAATTTGACCCAGACATCCCATTACTGGGTATATACCCAAGGACTATAAATCATGCTGCTATAAAGACACATGCACACGTATGTTTATTGCAGCACTATTCACAATAGCAAAGACTTGGAACCAACCCAAATGTCCAACAATAACAGAGTGGATTAAGAAAATGTGGCACATATACACCATGGAATACTATGGAGCCATACAAAAATGATGAGTTCATGTCTTTTGTAGGGACATGGATGAAATTGGAAATCATCATTCTCAGTAAACTATCGCTAGGACAAAAAACCAAACACTGCATGCTCTCACTCATAGGTGGGAATTGAGCGATGAGAACACATGGACACAGGAAGGGGAACATCACACTCTGGGGACTGATGTGGGGTGGGGGTAGGGGGGAGGGAGAGCATTAGGAGATATACCTAATGCTAAATGACGAGTTAATGGATGCAGCACACCAACATGGCACATGTACACATATGTAACTAACCTGCACAATGTGCACATGTACCCTAAAACTTAAAGTATAATAATAATAAAATAAATTAAATTTAAAAAAAAACTACACAGCAGTACTCTGAGAAACTTCTTTGTGATGAATGCATGCAACTCTCAGAGTTGAACATATCTTTTGATTGAACAGTTTTGAAAATATATTTTTGTAGAATCTGGAAGTGGATATATGGAGCCCTTTGCGGCCTATAGTGCAAAAGGAAACATCTTCACATAAAACCTACACAGAAGCGTTCTGAGAAATTTCTTGGTGATGTGTGCATTCATCTCACAGAGTTGAATATTTCTTTTGATTGTGCAGCTTGAAATACTGTTTTTGTGGAATCTGCAAGTGGATACTTGGAGTGTTATGTGGCCTATTGTGGAAAACGAAATACCGTCACATAAAAACTTCACGGAAGCATTCTGAGAAACTTCTTTGTTATATGTGTATTCAACTCACAGAGTTGAACCTGTCTTTTTAAAGAGCAATTTTGAAACTGTCTTTTTGTAGAATCTGCAAGTGGATATATGGAGCCCTTTGTGACCTATGGTGTAAAAGGAAATATCTTCACAAAAAAACTACACAGAAGCATTCTGAGAAACTTCTCTGTGAAGGGTTCATTCATCTCACAGACTTGAACCTTTCTTTTGTTTGAGCAGTTTGGAAACTTTTTTTTGTAGAATCAGTAAGTGGATATTTGGAAGGCTTAGGGGACTATTGTGGAAAAGGAAATATCTTCACATAAAAACTACACAGAAGCATTCTGAGAAGCTTCTTTGCGATGTGTGCATTCATCTGACAGAGTTGAAACTTTCTTTAAGCAGTTTGGAAACACTCTTTTTGTAGAATCTGCAAGTGGATATTTGGAGCCCTTTGAGGCTTATGGTGGAAAAGGAAATATCTTCAGATAAACACTACACAGGAGCATTCTGAAAAACTGCTTTGTGATGTGTGCATTCATCTCACAGAGTTGAATTTTTCTTTTGATTGAGCAGTTTTGAAACGCCCTTTTCGTGGAATGTGAAAGTGGATATTTGGAGGGTTTTGAGGCCTACGGTGGAAAAGGAAATATCTTCACATAAAAACTACAAAGAAGGATTCTGAGAAACTTATTTGTGATGTATGCAATCAACTCACAGACTTGAACATATCTTTGGATTGAGCAGCTTTGAAACTGTCTTTTTGTGCAATCTGCAAGTGGATATTTTGAGCCCTTTGTGGCCTATGGTGAAAAAGGAAATATCTTCAGATAAAAACTACAAAGAAGCATTCTGAGAAACTTCTTTGTGATGTGTACATTCATCTCACAGAATAGGAACTTTCTTTTGATTGAGCAGTTATGAAATACCCTTTTTGTAGAATGATCATGTGGATATTTTGAGGGCTTTGAGGCCTACTGTGGAGAAGTTAATATCTTCACATCAAAACTACTCAGAATCATTCTGAGAAACTTCTTTGCGATGTGCGAATTCATCCGACTGACTTCAACCTTTCTTTTGTTTGGGCAGTTTAGAAACACTCTTTTTATAGAATCTGCAAGTGAATATTTGGAGGGAATTGAGGCCTATGGCTGAAAAGGAAATATCTTTACATAAAAACTACACAAAAGCATTCTGAGAAACTTCTTTGTGATGTGTGCATTCAAATCACAGAGCTAAACCTATCTTTTGATTGACCAGTTTTGAAACTCTCTTTTGTAGAATCTGCAAGTGGATATTTGGAGTGCTTTGAGGCCTATTGTGGAAAAGAAAATATCCTCACATAAAAACTACACAGAAGCATTCTGAGAAACTTCTTTGTGATGTGTGCATTCATCTCAAGGAGTTGAACGTTTCTTTTGATTGTGCAGCTTGGAAACACTGTTTTTGTAGAATCCGCAAGTGGATATTTGGAGTGCTATGTGGCCTATGATGGAAAAGGAAATATCTTCACGTAAAAACTTCACAGAAGCATTCTGAGAAACTTCTTTGTTATGTTTGTATTCAAGTCACATAGTTGAACCTATCTTTTGATACAGCAGTTTTGAAACTCTCTTTTTGTAGAATCTGCAAGTGGATATTGGGAACCCTTTGCAGCCTATGGTGTAAAAGGAAATATCCTCACATAAAAACTACACAGAAGCATCCTGAGAAACTTCTTTGTGATGTGTGCATTCATCTCACAGAGTTGAACTTTTCTTTTGATTGTGCAGTTTGGAAACACTCCTTTTGTAGAATCTGTACGTGGATATTTGGAGGGTTTTGAGTCCTACGGTGGTAAAGAAAATGTCGTCACATGAAAAATACACAGAGGCATTCTGAGAAACTTCTTTGTGACGTGTGGATTCATCTCCCAGAGTTGAACCTATCGTTTGATTAAGAAGTTTTGAAACTCTCTTTTTGTAGAACCTGCAAGTGGATATTTGGAGCCATTTGCAGCCTCTGGTGTAAAAGGAAATATCTTCACTTTAAAACTACACAGAAACATTCTGAGAAACTTCTTTGTGACGTGTGCATTCATCTCACAGATTTGAAATTTTCTGTTGATTCAGCAGTTTTGAGACACTTTTTTTTTGTAGAATCTGCAGTTGGATATTTGGAGCGCTTTAAGGCCTATTGTGGAAAAGGAAATATCTCCACATAAAAACTATACAGAAACATTCTGAGAAACTTCTATGCGATGTGTGCATTCATCTGACAGAGTTGAACCTTTCTTTAGTTTGAGCAGTTTGGAAACACTCTTTTTGTAGAATCTGCAATTTAATACTTGGAGCACTTTGAAGACTACAGTGGAAAAGGAAATACCTTCACATAAAAACTACACAAAACTATTGTGACAAGCTTCTTTGTGGTGTGTGCATTCAACTCACAGGGTTGAACCTATCTTTTGATTGACCAGTTTTGAGACTCTCTTTTTGTAGAATCTGCAAGTGAATATTAGGAAATCCTTGTAGCCTATGGTGGAAAAGGAAATATCTTCACATAAAAACTACACAGAAGCATTCTGAGAAACTTCTTTGTAATGTGAGCATTCATCTCACAGATTTGCACCTTTATTTGATTGAGCAGTTTGAAACTCTCTTTTTCTGTAATCCGCCAGTGTATATTTGGAGCATTTTGTGGCCTATGGTAGAAAAGGAAATATCTTCTCATAAAAAGTACACAGAAGCATTCTGAGAAACTTCTCTGTGATGTATTCATTCTACTCACAGAGTTGAACCTATTTTTTGATTGAGCAGTTTTGTAATTATCTTTTTCAATAATCTGCAAGTGGATATTGGGAGTCCTTTGTGGCCTAATAAGGAAAAGGAAGTATCTTCACACAAAAACTACACAGAAGAATTTTGAGAAACTTCTTTGTGATGTGTGCATTCATCTCAGAGTGTTCAACGTTTCTTTTGATTGAGTCGTTTGGAAACACTCTTTTTGCAGAATGTGCAAGTTGATATTTGTAGCGCTTTGAGGCCTCCAGTGGAAAAGGAAATATCTTCACATAAAAACTACACAGAAGCATTCTGAGAAATTTCTCTGTGATCTGTGCATTCAACTCACAGGGTTGAATCTATCTTTTGATTGACCAGTTTTGAGTCTCTCTTTCTGTGGAATCTGCAAGTGGATATTTAAAGCCCTTTGTGGCCTATGGTGGAAAAAGAAATATCATCACATAAAAACTACACAGAAGCATTCTGAGAAAGTTTTTGTGATGTGTGCATTCATCTCACGGAGTTGAGCCTATCTTTTGATTGGGCAGTTTTGAAACTCTCTTTTTGAAGAATCTGGAATGAGTATTTGGAGGCCTTTGTGGCATATGGTGCAAAAGGAAATATCTTCACATAAAAACTACACAGAAGCATTCTGAGAAACTTCTCTGTGATGTGTGCATTCAACTCACAGAGTTGAAGCTACCTTTGATTGAACAGTTTTGAATCTCTCTTTTTGTAGAATCTGCAAGTGGAAGTTTGGAGCCCTTTGCGGCCAATGGTGGAAAAGGAGATATCTTCAAATGAAAACTACACAGAAATATTCTGAGAAACTTCCTGTTGTGTGCATTCATCTCACACACTTGAACCTATCTTTTGATTGAGCAGTTTTGAAACCCTCTGTTTGTAGAATCTGAAAGTGGATATCTGGAGCGCTTTGGTGCCTATTGTGGGAAAGGAAATATCATCACAAAAAAACTACACGGAAACATTCTGAGAAACTTCTTTGTGATGTATGCATTCATCTCACAGAGTTGAACCTTTCTGTCGATTCAGCAGTTTTCACATTCTTTTTGTAGAATCTGCAAGTGGATATTTGGAGCGCTTTGAGGCCTATGGTGGAAAAGGAAATATCTTCACAGAAAAATTACACAGAAGCATTCTGAGGAAGTTCTTTGTGATGTGTGCATTCATCTGTCAAAGTTGAACATTTCTTTTGTTTGAGCAGTTTGGGATCACTCTTTTTGTAGAATCTGCAAGTGGATATTTGGAGCATTTTGGAGTCTATGGTGTAAAAGTAAATATCTACACATAAAAACTACACAGAAGAATTCTGAGAAAATTCTTTGTGATGTGTGCATTCTTCTCACAGAGTTGAATCCATCTTATCATTGAGCAGTTTTGAGACACTCTTTTTGTAGAAACTGCAAGTGGATATTTGGAGTGCTTTGAGGTCTATTGAATAAAAGAAACTATCTTCATATAAAAACTACACAGAATCATTCTGAGAAACTTCATTGTGATGAGTGCATTCATAACACAGAGTTAAACCTATTTTTGATTCAGTAGTTTTGAATCTCTCTTTTTGTATAATCTGCAAGTAGATATTTGGAGCCCTTTTCAGCCTATGGAGGAAAAGGAAATATCTTGAAATAAAAACTACATGGAAGCATTCTGAGAATCTTCTTTGTGATGTGTGCATTCATCCCACAGTGTTAAACCTTTCTTTTGGTAGAGCAGTTTTCAAACACTGTTTTTGAAAAATCTGCAAGAGGATATTTTGAGCTCTTTGAGGCCTATTGTGGACAAGTAAATATGTTCACAGAAAAACTATAAAGAGGCATTCTGAGTAACTTCATTTGATGTGTAAATTCACTGAACAGAGATGAACCTATCTTATGATTGAGCAGTTTTGAAACACTCTCTTTGTATAATCTTCCAGTTGATATTTGAAGCGCTTTGAGGTCTATTGTGGAAAAGAAATATCTTCACATAAAAAGTGCATAGAAGCATTCTGATAATCTTCTTTGTGATGTGTGCATTCATCTCACAGAGTTGAACCTTTCTTTTGTTAGAGCAGTTTTGAAACACGGTTTTTGTAAAATCTGCAAGAGGATATTTTGAGCGCTTTGATGCCTATTGTGGAAAAGTAAATATTTCCACACAAAACCTATGCAGAGGCATTCTGAGTAACTTCTTTGTGATGTGTGCATTCATCTCACAGAGTTGAACCTTTCTTTTGATTGAGCAGTTTTGAAACACTCTTTCTGTAGAATCTGCAAGTGGATATTTTGAACACTTTGAGGACTACAGTGGAAAAGGAAATATCTTCACATAAAAACTACACAGAAGCATTCTGAGAAACTTCTTCATCATGTGAGCATTCAACACACAGAGTTGAACCTATCTTTTCATAGAGCAGTTTTGAATCTCTCTTTTTGTAGAATCTACAAGAGGATATTTGGATACCTTTGCAGCCTATAGAGGAAAAGGAAATATCTTCAAATAAACACTACACAGGAGGATTCTAAGAAACTTCTTTATGATATGTGCATTCATTTGACATAGTTGAATCTTTCTTTTGATTGAGCAGTTTTGAAACTCAGTTTTTGTAGAATCTGCAAGTGGATATTTGGAGCCATTTGAGGCCTACTGTGGAAAAACAAATATCTTCACATAAAAACCACACAGAGGCATTCTGAGAAACTTCTTTGTGATGTGTGCATTCATCTCACAGTGTTGAAATTTTCTTTTGATTGAGCAGTTTTGGTTCTCTCTTTTTCTAGAATCTGGAATTGGATATTTGGAGCCTCTTGCGGTCTATGGAGGCAAAGGAAATATCTTCAAATAAAAACTACAGAGAAGAATTCTCAGAAATTTCTAGGTTCTATTTGCATTCATCTCACAGAGTTGAACCTTTCTTTTGATGGAGGAGTTTTGAAACACTCCTTTTGTAGATTCTGCAAGTGGATATTTGGTGCGCACTGAAGTCTATTGTCGAAAAGGCAATATCTTCACATAAAAACTACACAGAAGCATTCTGAGAAACTTCTTTTTGATGTGTGCATTCATCTCACATAGTTGAACCTTTCTTTTCATTGAGAAGTTTTGGAACACAGTTTTTGTAGGATCTGCAAGTGGATATTTGGAGAGATTTGAGGTCTACTTTGTAAAAGCAATTATCTTCACATAAAAACTACACAGAAGCATTCTGAGAAAATTTTGTGATGTGTGCATTCATCTCACACAGTTGAAACATTATTTTGATTGAGCAGTTTTGAAACACTCTTTCTATAGAATCTGCAAGTGGATATTTTGAGCATTTTGAGGCCTATAGTGGAAAAGGAAATATCTTCACATAAAAACTACACAGAATCATTCTGAGAAACTACTTTGTGATGTGTGCATTCATCTCACAGAGTTGAATCTATGTTATGGTTTAGCAGTTTTCAAACACTCTCTTTGTAGAATCTACAAGTGGATCCTTGGAACGATTTGAGGCATATTGTGGAAAAGGAAATATGTTCACATAAAAACTACACAAAAGCATTCTGAGAAAGTTCTTTGTGATGTGTGCATTCAACTCACAGAGTCTAATCTGTCTTTTGATTGAGCAGTTTTTAAATACTGTTTTTGTAGAATCTGCAAGTGGATATTTTGTGGACTTTGAGGCCTATTTTGGAAAAGGAAATATCTTCACATAAAAACTACACAGAAGCATTCTGAGAAACTTCTTTGTGATGTGTTCATTCAACTCACAAACTTGAACCTATATTTCGATTGAGCAGTTATGGATTTCTCTTTTTCTAGGATTTGGAAGTGGATATTTTGAGTCCTTTGTGGTTCATGGAGGCAAAGGAAATATCTTCAAATAAAATCTACACAGAAGCATTCTGAGAAACTTCTTTGTGATGTGTGCATTCATCTCACAGAGATGAACCTATCTTATGACTGAGCAGCTTTGAAACACTCTCTTTGCAGAATCTTCAGGGGAATATTTGGAGTGCTTTGTGGCCAGTTGGGTAAAAGGAAATAGCTTCACATAAAACCTACACAGAATTATTCTGAGCAACTACTTTGTGATGTGCGTATTCATCTAACAGAGCTGTATGTTTCTTTTGGTTGAGCAGTTTTGAAACACTGTTTTTATAGAATCTGCAAGTGGATATTTGGAATGCTTTGAGGCCTACTGTGGAAAAACAAATATCTTCACGTAAAAACCACACAGAAGCATTCTGAGAAACATCTCTGTGATGTGTGCATTCATCCCACAGAGTTGAAAGTTTCTTTTGATTGAGAACTTTTGAAACACACTTTTTGTAGAATCTGCAAGTGGATATTTGAAGCCCTTTGCAGCCTATGGAGGAAAAGGAAATATCCTGAAATAAATACTACACAGAAGCATTCTGAGAAACTTCTTTGTGATGTGTGCATTCATCTCATAGATTGGAACCTATCTTATGATTGAGCAGTTTTGAAACACTCTCTTTGTAGAATCTGCAAGTGGAAACTTGGACGATTTCAACCCTATAGTGGAAAAGGAAATATCTTCACATAAAAACTTCACAGAAGCATTCTGAGAAACTTCTTTGTGATGTTTGCATTCGTCTCACAGAGATGAATATTTCTTTTGATTGTGCAGTTTTGAAACACTGTTTTTGTAGAATCTGCAACTGGATATTTGGAGCCCTTTGCGGTCTATATGAAAAAAGGAAATATCTTCAGATAGAAACTACACAGAAACATTGTGAGAAACTTCTTTGTGATGTGTGCATTCATCTCACAGAGTTGAACTTTTCTTTTGATGGAGAAGTTTTGAAACACTCTTTTTGTAGAAACTGCAAGTTGCTATTTGGAGCCCTTTGCGGCATATGGTGAAACAGGGAATACCTTCACATAAAAACTACACAGAAACATTCTGAGAAACTTCTTTGTGATGTGTGCATTACTCTCACAGAGTTGAACCATTCTTTTGATTGAGCAGGTTTGAAACAATCTCTTTGTAGAATCTGCAAGTGGATACTTGGAATGCTTTGAGGCCTATTGTGGAAAAGGAAATATCTTCACATAGAAACTACACAGTAGAATTCAGTGAAACTTCTTTGTGATGTGTGCATTCAACTCACAGAGTTGAACATTTCTTTTGATTGACCAGTTTGGAAACATTCTTTTTGTAGAAACTGCAAGTGGATATGTGGAGCCTTTTGTGGCCTAAGGTGGAAAAGGAAATATCTTCACATAAAAACTACACAGAAGCATTCTAACAAACTACCTTGTGATGTGTGCATTCATCTGACAGAGATGAACCTTTATTTTGATTGAGCAGTTTTGAAAAACTCTTTTGTAGAATCTGCAAGTGGATCTTTGGAGAGCTTTGAGCCTATTGCAAAAAAGAAAATATCTTCACATAAAAACTACACAGAAGGAGTCTGAGATAATTTTTGTGATTGTGCATTCATTTCACCTTTCTTTTGACTATGCAGTTTGGAAATACTCTTTTAGGGTGATCTGCAAGTGGATATTTGCAGTGCTAGGAGGCATATTGAGGAAAAGGAAATATCTTCCCATAAAAAATACACAGAAGCATTCTGAGAAACTTATTTGTGATGTGTGCATTCAACTCTCGGAGTTGAACCTATCTTTTGATAAGCAGTATTGAAACACTTTTTTTTTTGGAATCTGCAGGTGGATATTTGGAGCGCTTTGAGGCCTATGGTGTAAAAGGAAATATCTTCACATAAAAACTACACAGAAGCATTCAAAGAAACTTCTTTGTGATGTGAGCATTCAACTCACAGAGTTGAACTTAACTTTTTATTGAGGAGCTTTGAAAATCTCTTTTTGTAGAATCTGCAAGTGGATATTTAGAGCCCCTTGCTGCCTGTGGTGGAAAAAGAAATATCTTCACATAAAAACTTCACAGAAGCATTCTGAAAAAAACTTCTTGGTGATGTGTGCATTCATATCACAGAGTTCAACATTTCTTTTGATTGAGCTGTTTTGAAACACTATTTTTGTAGAATCTGCAAGTGGATATTTGGAGCACTTTGAGGCCTATTGTAGAAAAGGAAATATCTTCACATGAAAACAACACAGAAACATTCTGACAAATTTCTTTGTGATGTGTGCGTTCATCTCACAGAGTTGAACTTTTCTTTTGATTGAGCAGTTTTCAAACACTGTTTTTGTAGTATCTCTAAGTGGATATTTTGAGCGCATTGGGGTCTATGGTGGAAAAGGATATATCTTCACATAAAATCTACACAGAAGCATTCTGAGAAACTTCTTTCTGACGTGTGTATTCAAACCACAGATTTGAACCTATCTTTTGATTGTACAGTTTTCAAACTCTCTTTTTGTAGAATCTGCAAGTGGATATTTGGAACCTTTTTTGGCCTCTGGTGGAAAAGGAAATAACTTCACATAAAAACTACACAGAAGCATTCTGAGAAACTTCATTGTCATGTGTGGATTCATCTCAGAGTGTTGAACCTTTCTTTTCACTGAGCACTTTTGAAACAGTCTTTTTGTAGAATCTGCAAGTGGATATTTGGAGCCCCTTGAGTCCTACTGTGGAAAAGAAAATATCTTTACATAAAAACATCACAGATGCATTCTGAGAAACTACTTTGCAAGGTGCGCATTCATCTCACATAGTTCAACTTTCTTTTGATTGAGCAATTTTGAAACACACTTTTTGTAGAATCTGCAACTAGATATTTGGAGTGCATTGAGGCCTATGGTGGAAAAGGAAATATCTTCACTTAAAGCTACACAGAAGCATTCTGAAAAACTTCTTTGTGAAATGTTCGTTCAACACACTGTGGTGAACATTTCTTTTCATTGAGCAGTTTTGAAAACCACTATTTGTAGAATCTGCAAGTGGATATTTGTAGTGCTTAGAGGCCTATTGTGGAAAAGGAAATATCTTCACATAAAAATTACACAGAAGCATTCTGAGAAACTTGTTTGTGATGAGTGCATTCAGCTCACAGAGTTGAACCTATCTTTTGATAGAGCAATTTTGAAACTCTCTTTTTGTAGAACCTGCAAGTGGATATTTGGAGCCCTTTGTGGCCTATGGTGGAAAAGGAAATATCTTCACATAAAAACTACACAGAAGCATTCTGAGAAATGTCTTTTTAAGTGTTCATTCATGTCACAGAGCGCTTTGAGGCCCATTGTGGAAAAGGATATATCTTCACATAAAAACTACACAGAAGCATTCTGAGAAACTTCTGTGTAATATGTGCATTCATCTCCCAGAGTTGTAACTTTCTTTTGATTGAGCAGTTTGGAAACACTCTTTTAGTAAAATCTACAAGTGGATACTTGGAGCGCTTTGAGGCATATTGTAGAAATGGAAATATCTTCACATAACAACTAAACAGAAGCATTCTGAGAAACTTCTTTGAGATGTGTGCATTTAACTCAGAGTTGTATCTATCTTTTGATAGAGGAGTTTTGAAACTCTCTTTATGTAGAATCTGTAAGGGAATATTTGGAGCCCTTTGTGGCCTATGGTGTAAAAGGAAATACCTTCACATAAAAACTACACAGAAGCATTCTGAGAAACTTCTTTGTGTTGTGTGCATTCATCTCAAAGAGATGAACCTTTAATTCGATTGAACAGTTTTGAAACACTCTTTTTGTAGAATCTGCAAGTGGATATTTGGAACGCTTTGGAGAGAATGGTGGAAATGGATATATCTTCATATAAAAACTACGGAAAAGCATTCTGAGAAACGACTTTGTGATGTGTGTATTCAAATCACAGCGTTGAACCATTCTTTTGATTGTGCAGTTTTGAAACTCTTTTTGTGGAATCTGCAAGTAGATACTCGGAGGTCTTTGCGGAGTATTGTGGAAAAGGAAATAACTTTGCATAAAAGCTACACAGACACATTCTGGGAAACTTCTTTGTGATGTGTGCATTCAACTCACAGAGTTGAACCTTTCTTTTGATTGAGCAGTTTTGAAACACACTTTTTGTTGAATCTGCAAGTGGATATTTGGAGAGGTTTGGGACTTATGGTGGAAAAGTAAATATCTTCACATAAAAACTGCACAGAGGTATTCTGAGAAACTTCCCTCTGATGTTCACATTCAGCTCACTGAATTGGACCTTTCCTTTGATTGAGCAGTTTTGAAACACTCTTTTGTAGAATCTGCAATTGGATATTTGAAGCGCTTTCCAGCCTCGAGTGGAAAAGGAAATATCTTCACATAAAAACTAGACAGAAATATTCTGCGAAACTTCTTTGTGATGTGTGCATTCTTCTCACAGAGTTGAACTTTTCTTTTGATTGAGCAGTTTTGAAACACTCTTTTTGTAGAATCTGCAAGTGGATATTTGGAGCACTTCCAGTCCTACGGTGTTAAAGGAAATATCTTCACATCAAAACTAGACAGAAGCACTCTGAGAAACTTCTTTGTGATGTGTACATTCAACTCACAGGTTTGAACCTTTCTTTTGATTAAGCAGTTTTGAAACACACTTTTTGTAGAATCTGAAGGTGGATATTGGGAGCACTTTGGGGCCTATGGTGTAAAAGAAAATATCTTCAAATAAAAACTGGACAGAATCATTCTGAGAAACAACTTTGTGATGTGTGCATTCATCTCACTGAGTTGAACGTTTCTTTTGATTGAGTAGTTTTGAAACGCACATTTGTAGACTCTACCAGGGGATATTTGGAGTACTTTGGGGTCTACGGTGGAAAAGGAAATATCTTCACCTAAAAACTAGACGGAAGCATTGTGAGAAGCTTCTTTGTGATGTGTGCATTCAACTAACACAGTTGAACCTTTCTTTTGATTGAGCAGTTTTGAAACACTCTTTTTGAAGAATCTGCAAGTGGATATTTGGAGCGCTTTGCGGCCTATTGTGGAAAAGGATATATCTTCAAATAAAAACTAGAAAGAAGCACTTTGAGAAACTTCTTTATGAGATGTGCATTCATCTCGCAGACTTGAACCTTTCTTTCGATTGAGCAGTTTTGAAACACTATTTTTGTAGAATCTGCAAGGGATATTTGAAGAGATTTGAGGCCTAATGTGGAAAAGGAAATATCTTCACATGAAAACTAGACAGAAGCATTCTGAGAATCTTCTTTGTGATGTGTGCATTCATCTTACAGAGCTGAAACTTTCTTTTGATTCAGCAGTTTTGAAATACTCTGTTTATGGAATCTGCTTGTGGATTTTTGGAGCGATTTGAGTCACGTTGTGGAAAAGGAAATATTGTCATATGAAAACTAGAAAGAAGCATTCTGAGAAAATTATTTGTGATGTGTGCATTCAACTCACAGAGTTGAAAGTTTCTTTTGATTGAGCAGTTTGGAAACACTGTTTTTGCAGAATCTGCAAGTTGATATTTGTAGCGCTTGGTGGCCTATATTGGAAAAGGAAATATCTTCACATATATACAAGACGGAAGCATTCAGGGAAACTACTTTGTGATGTGCATTCAATTCAAAGAGCTGAACATTTACCCTGATTGAGCTGCTTGGAAAGCATCTTTCTGTAGTATCTGCAATTGGACATTTTGAGCGCTTTGAGGCCTATGGTGGAAAAGGAAATATCTTCACATAAAAACTAGACAGAAGCATTCTGAGAAAATTCTTTGTGATGTGTGCATTCAACTCACAGAGTTGAACCTTTCTTTTGATCGAGCAGTTTGGAAGCAGTCTTTTTGTAATATCTACCAGTGGATATTTGGATCACTTTACATCATGGATTGGAAAAGGAAACATCTTCACATAAAAACTAGACAAAAGCATACTGAGAAACTTCTTTGTGATGTGTCCATTCATCTCGTAGAGTTAAATCTTTCTTTTGATAGAGCAGGTTTGAAACACTCTTTTTGTAGGTTCTGCAAGTGTATATTTGGAGTGCTCTGTGGCCGATAGTGGAAAAGGAAATATCTTCACATAAAAAAATACACAGAAGCACTCTGAGAAACTTCTCGGTGTTGTGTGCAGTCATATCACAGACTTGAAACTTTCTTTGATACAGCAGTTTCAAAACGCTCTTTTTGGAGATTCTGAAAGTAGATATTTGGAGAGACTTGGGGCCTATGGTGGAAAAGGAAATATCTTCACATAAAAACTAGACAGAAGCATTCTGAGAAGCTTCTTTGTGATATGTGCATCCATCTCAAAGAGTTGAACCTTTCTTTTGATTGAGCATTTTTGAAGCACTCTTTTTGTAGAATCTTCAAGTGGATATTTGGAATGCTTTGTGGCCTGTGGTGGAAAAGGAAATATCTTCACATAAAAACTAGACAGAAGCATTCTGAGAAACTTATTTGTGATGTGCTCATTCAACTCACAGATTTAAACTTTTCTTTTGATTGAGCAGTTTGGAAACAGTCTTTTTGTAGTACCTGCAAATGGATATTTGGAGTGCTTTGGGGCCTGTGGTGGAAAAGGAAATATATACACACAAAAACTAGACAGAAACATTATGAGAAACTGCTCTGTGATGCGTGCATTCATCACCAGGGTTGAACCTTTCTTTTGATTGAACAGTTTTGAAACACTCTTTCTGTAGAATCTGAAGGGGATATTTGGAACGCCTTGCGGCCTATGGTGAAAAACGAAATATCTTCACATAAAAACTAGACAGATGCATTCTGAGAAAGTGCTTTGTGAGGTGTACATTCATCTCACAGAGTTAAACCTTTCTTTTGATTGAGCAGTTTTGAAACACTCTTATTGTACAATCTGCAAGTGGATATTTGGAGAGTTTGAGGCCACTGGTGGAAAAGCAAATATCTTCACATAAAAACTAGACAGAACCATTCTGAGAAATCTCTTTGAGATGCGTGCATTCAACTCACAGAGTTGGACCTTTCCTTTGATTGAGCAGTTTGGAAACAGTCTTTTTGCAGTATATGCAAATGGATATTTGGAGCACTTTCAGGCCTATAGTAGGAAAGGAAATATCTTCACATAAAAACTAGACAGAAAATTACTGAGAAATTTCTCAGTGATGTGTGCATTCATCTCACAGAGTTGAAACTTTCTTTTGATTGAGCAGTTTGGAAACACTCTTTTAGTAGAAACTGCAAGGGGATATTTGGAGCACTTTGTGGTCTTTGGTAGAAAAGGATATATCTTCACATTAAAAATAGACAGAAGCATTCTGAGGAACTTCTTCATGATGTGTGCATTCATCTCAGAGAGTTGAACTTTTCTTTTGATTGAGCAGCTTTGAAAAACTCTTTCTGCAGAATCTGCAAGTTGATATTTGGAGTGCTTTGGGGCCTATAGTAGAAAAGGAAATATCTTCACATAAAACTAGACAGAAGCATTCTGAGAAACTTCTTTGTGATGTGTGCATTAATGTCACAGAGTTGAACCTTTCTTTTGTTTGAGCAGTTTTGAAACTCTCTTTTTGTAGAATCTTCAAGTGAATATTTTTAGCACTTTGAGGCCTGTGGTGGAAAAGAAAACATCTTCACATAAAAACTAGTCAGAAGCTTTCTGAGAAACTTCTTTGTGATGTGTGCATTCAACTCATGGAGTTGAACCTTTCCTTTGATTCAGCAGTTTGGAAACAGTCTTTTTGTAGTATCTGCAAATGGATATTTGGAGAGCTTTGAGGCCTATGGTGAAAAAGAAAATATCTTCACATAAAAACTAGACAGAAGCATTCTCAGAAACTTCTTTGTGATGTGTGCATTCATCTCACAGAGCTCACAGAGTTGAACCCTTGTTTTTTTTTTTTTATTGTACTTTAAGTTTTAGGGTACATGTGCACATTGTGCAGGTAAGTTACATATGTATACATGTGCCATGCTGGTGCACTGCACCCACTAACGTGTCATCTAGCATTAGGTATATCTCCCAATGCTATCCCTCCCACCTCCCCCGACCCCACCACAGTCCCCAGAGTGTGATATTCCCCTTCCTGTGTCCATGTGATCTCATTGTTCAATTCCCACTTATGAGTGAGAATATGCGGTGTTTGGTTTTTTGTTCTTGCGATAGTTTACTGAGAATGATGGTTTCCAATTTCATCCATGTCCCTACAAAGGACATGAACTCATCATTTTTTATGGCTGCATAGTATTCCATGGTGTATATGTGCCACATTTTCTTAATCCAGTCTATCATTGTTGGACATTTGGGTTGTGAACCCTTGTTTTGATTGAGCAGTGTTGAAACACTTTTTATAGAATCAGCAAGTGGATATTTGTTGCACTTTGAGACCTATGGTGGAAAAGGAAATATCTTCACAGAAAAACCACAAAGAAGAATTCTGAGAAACACCTTTGTGGTGTGTGGTTTCATCTCTCATATTTGAACCTTTCTCTTTATTGAGCAGTTTGGAAACAATCTTTTTGTAGTATCTGCAAATGAATTTTTGGAGCTGAGGCCTGTGGTGAAAAATGAAGTATCCTCACATAAAAACCAGACAGAAGGATTCCTAGAAAGTGCTTTGTGATGTGTGCATTAATCTCACAGATTTGAAACTTTATTTTGATTGAGGAATTTTGAAACACTCTTTGTGTAGAATCTGCAAGTGGATATTTGGAGCGCTTTGAGGCCTATGGTGGAATAGGAAATATCTTCACATTAAAACAGGACAGAAGCATTCTGAGAAACTTCTTTGTGTTGTGTGCATTCATTTCACAGAGTTGAACCATTCCTTTGATTGAGCAGTTTGCCAACTGTCATTTTGTAGAATCTACAGAGGGATATTTGTGAACCCATTAATGCCTATGGGGTGATAGGAAAGATCTTCATATAAAAACTAGAGAGAAACTTTCTGAGAAACTTCTTTGTGATGTGTGCATTCATCTCACAGAGTTGAACTTTTCTTTTGATTGAGCAGTTTGGAAACAGTCTTTTTTGGAATCTGCAAACAGATATTTTTTTTTGCTTTGAGGCCTATGGTGGAAAAGGAAATATCTTCACATAAAAACTAGACAGAAGCATTCTGAGAAACTTCTTTGTGATGTGTGCACTCATCTCACAGACTTGAAGCTTTCTTTTGATTGAGCAGTTTTGAAAAACTCTTTTTGTAGAATCTGCAAGTCGATATTTGGAGCGTTTTGTGTCCTATATTGGAAAAGGTAATATCTTCACATAGAAACTTGACAGAAGCATTCTGAGAAACTTCTTTGTGATATGTGCATTCATCTCACAGGATTTAACTTTCTTTTGATTGAGCAGTTTGGAGCCCATCGTTTTGTAGGATCTGTGAAGGGGTATTTTTGTTCCCATTGAGGCTTATGGGGTAATAGGAAATATCTTCACATAAAAACTAAACAGAAAAATTCTGAGAAAATTCTTTGTGATATGTGCTTTCATCTCACAGAGTTGAAATTTTGTTTTGATTGGGCAGTTTGGAATCCGTCTTTTTGTAGAATCTGCAAGTGGATATTTGGAGGGCTTTGAGACCTATGGTGAAAAAGGAAATATCTTCACATTAAAAATATACAGAAGCATTCTGAGAAACTTCTTTGTCTTGTGTGCATTAATTTCGCAGAGTTGAACCTTTGTATTGATTGAGCAGTTTGGAAACGGTAGTTTTGTAGAATCTGTAGAGGGATATTTTTCAGCCTACTGAGGCCTCTGAGGAAATAGAGAATATCTTCAGATAAGAACCAGACAGAAGCATTCTGAGAAACTTCCTTCTGGTGTGTGCATTCATTTCACAGAGTTGAACCTTTCTTTTGATTGAGCAGTTTGGAAACAGTGTTTCTGTAGTAACTGCAAATGGATATTTGGAGTGCTTTGAGGCATACGTTTAAAAAGGAAAAAAAACAAACCAACAACCCCTTCAAAAAGTGGGCGAAGGACATGAACATACACTTCTCAAAAGAATATGTTTATGCAGCCAAAAAACACATGAAAAAATGCCCACCATCACTGGCCATCAGAGAAATGCAAATCAAAACCACAAGGAGATACCGTCACACACCAATTAGAATGGCAATCATTAAAAAGTCAGGAAACAACAGGTGCTGGAGAGGATGTGGAGAAATAGGAACACTTTTACTCAGCGGGTGGCACTGTAAACTAGTACAACCATTGTAGAAGTCCGTGTGGTGATTCCTCAGGGATCTAGAACTAGAAATACCATTTGACCCAGCCATCCCATTGCTGGGTATATAACCAAAGGACTATAAATCATGCTGCTATAAAGACACATGCACACATATGTTTATTGCGGCACTAGTCACAACAGCAAAGAGTTGGAACCAACCCAAATGTCCAACAATGATAGACTTGATTAAGAAAATATGGCACATATACACCATGGAATACTATGCAGCCATAAAAATGATGAGTTCATGTCCTTTGTAGGGACATGGATGAAATTGGAAATCATCATTCTCAGTAAAATATCGCAAGAACAAAAGACCAAACACTGCGTATTCTCACTCATAAGTGGGAATTGAACAATGAGAACACATGGACACAGGAAGGGGAACGTCATACTCTGGGGACTGTTGTGGGGTGGGGTGAGGGGGCAGGGATAGCATTAGGAGATATACCTAATGCTAAATGACGAGTTAATCGGTGCAGCACACCAGCGTGGTACATGTATACATATGTAACTAACATGCACATTGTGCACATGTACCCTAAAACTTAAAGTATAATAATAATAAAATAATAAATAAATAAATAAATAAAAAGGAAATATATTCACATAAAAACTTGACAGAAGCATTCTGAGGAACTTCTTTGTCATGTGTGCATTCATTTCACAGAGTTGAAACTTTCTTTTGATTGAGCAGTTTTGAAACACTCTTTTTTCAGAATCTGCAACTGGATATTTGGAGAACGTTGAGGCCTATGGTGGAAAAGGAAATATCTTCACAAAAAATCAGACACAACCATTCAGAGAAACTTCTTTGTGATGTGTGCATTCAACTCCCTGTGTTGAAGTTTTCTTTTGATTGAGTAGTTTTAACAAACTCTTTTTGTAGTATCAGAAACTGGATATTTGTAGCGTTTTGAGGCCTATAGAGGAAAAGGAAATATCTTCACATAAAACCCAGAAAGAAGCATTCTGAGAGAATTCTCTTCGATTTCAGCATTCATCTCACAGAGTTGAACTTTTCTTTTTTGAGAAGTATTTAATCACTCTTTTTGTAGAATCTGCAAGGGGATATATGGAGCACTTTGAGGCCTTTTGTGGAAAAGGTAATATCTTCACATAAAAATCAGACACAAGCATTCTGAGTAACTTCTTTGTGATGTGTGCATTCAACTACCTGTGTTGAAACTTTCTTTTGATTGAGCAGTTTTAACGCACTCTTTTTGTAGAATCTGCAAGTGGATATTTGGAGCACTTTGATGCCTATGATGGAAAAGGAAATATCTTCACATAAAAGCTAGACAGAAGCATTCTGAGAATGTTCTTTGTGATGTATGCATTCATCTCACTGAGCTGAATCTTTCTTTTTTGAGAAGTATTTAAACACTCTTTTTGTAGAATCTGCAAGTGGATACTTGGAGTGCTTTGAGGCCTTTGGTGGAAAAAGAAATATCTTCACATAAAAACTAGACAGAAGCATTCTGAGAAACCTCTTTGTGATGTGTACATTCATCTCACAGAGTTGAGCCTTTATTTTGATTTAGCAGTTTGGAAACACTCTTTTTGTAGGATCTGCAAGTGGATATTTGGAGTGATTTGAGGCCTATAGTGGAAAAGGAAATAACTTCATGTGAAAAGTAGACAGAAGCATTCTGAAAAACTTCTTAGTGATGTGTGCATTCATCTCACAAAGTTAAACCTATCTTATGATTGAGCAGTTTTGAAACACTCTTTTTGTGGAATCTTCAATTGGATATTTGGAGTGCTTAGATGCCTGTGTTGGAAAAGGAAATATCTTCACGTAAAAACAAGCAAGGAGAATTCTGAGAAAGTTTTCTTTGTGATTTGTGCATTCATCTCACAGAGCTGAAATTTTCTTTTGATTGAGCAGTTTGGACACAGTCTTTTTCTCGCCTGCAAAAGGATATTTAGGGTACTTTGAGGCCTATGGTGGAAAAGGACATGTCTTCCCATAAAAACTAGACAGCAGCATTTTGAGAAACTTCTTTGTGATGTGTGGATTCATCTCACAGAGTTGAACTTTTCTTTTGATTGAGCAGTTTTGAAACACTCTTTTTGTACAATCTGCAAGTGGATATTTGGAGCGCTTTGAGGTCATTGGTGGAAAAGGACATATCTTCCAATAAAAACTAGACAGAAGTATTCTGAGAAACATTTTGTGATGTGTGCATTCATCTCACAGAGTTGAACCTTTCTTTTTATTGAGCAGTTTGGAAACTGTATTTTTGTAGAATCTGCAAGTGGATATTTGGAGCACTTTGAGGCCCATGGTGGAAAAGGACATATCTTCCCATAAAAACTAGACAGCAGCATTTTGAGAAACTTCTTTGTGATGTGTGGATTCATCTCACAGAGTTGAAGCTTTCTTTTGATTGAGTAGTATTGAAACACTCTTGTGGAATCTCCAATTAGATACTTGGAGCGCTTTGAGGCCTATGGTGGAAAAGGAAATATCTTCACATGAAAACTACACAGAAGCATTCTGAGAAATTTGTTTGTGATGTGTTCATTCAACACACAGAGTTGAATCTTTCTTTTGATTGAGCAGTTTTGAAACACACTTTTTTAGGATCTACAAGTGGATATTTGGAGCGCTTTGTGGCCTATTGTGGAAAAGGATATATCTTCACATAAAAAGTATGGAGAAGCATTCTGAGAAACTTCTTTGTGATGTGTGCATTCATCTCACAGAGTTCAACCTTTCTTTTGATTGAGCAGTTTTGAAACGCTCTTTTTGTAGAGTGTGCAAGCGGATATTTGGAGCTCTTTGAGGCTTATGGTGGAAAAGGAAATATCTTCACATAAAAACTACAGAGAAGCATTCTGACAAAGTTCTTTGTGCTGTGTGTGTTCAACTCACAGAGTTGAACCTTTCTTTCGATTGAGCAGTTTTGAAATGCCCTTTTTTTAGAATCTGCAAGTGGATATTTTGAGTGCTTTGTGGCCTCTGTTGGAAAAGGAAATATCTTCACATAAAGTAGACAGAAGCATTCTGAGAAACTTCCTTGTGATGTGTGCATTCATCTCACAGAGAGGAAACTTTCTTTTGATTGTGAAGTTTTCAAACACTCTTTTTGTATAATCTGCAAGTGGATATTTGGAGGTCTTTGTGGCCTATAGGGGAAAAGGAAATATCTTCACATAAAAACTACAGAGAAGCATTCTGACAAAGTTCTTTGTGCTGTGTGTGTTCAACTCACAGAGTTGAACCTTTCTTTTGATTGAGCAGTTTTGAAATGCCCTTTTTTTGGAATCTGCAAGTGGATATTTTGAGTGCTTTGTGGTCTCTGTTGGAAAAGGAAATATCTTCACATAAAGTAGACAGAAGCATTCTGAGAAACTTCCTTGTGATGTGTGCATTCATCTCACAGAGTTGAAACTTTCTTTTGATTGTGAAGTTTTCAAACACTCTTTTTGTAGGATCTGCAAGTGGATATTTGGAGGCCTTTGTGGCCTATAGGGGAAAAGGAAATATCTTCATATAAAAATTAGACAGAAGCATTCTGAGAAACATCTTTGTGATATATGCATTCATCTCACAGCGTTGAAATTTTCTTTTTATTCACCACTTTTGAAACACTCTTTTTCTACAGTCGGCAAGTGGATATTTGTAGTGCTTTGAGGCATATGGTGGAAAATGAAATATTTTCACAATAAAATTAGACAGAAACATTCTGTGATACTTCTTTGTGATCTGTGCCTTCATATCACAGAGTTGAACCTTTCTATTGATAGAGCAGTTTTGAAACACTCTTTTTGTAAAATCTGCCAATGGATATTTGGAACACTTTGAGGCCTATAGTGGAAAAGGAAATATCTTCACATAAATAGTAGACAAGCATTCTGAGAAACTTCTTTGTGATGTGTGCATTCAACTCACAGAATGGAACCCTTATTTTGATAGAGCAGTTTTGAAAGACTCCTTTTGTATAACCTGCAATTGGATATTTCGAGCGCTATGTGGCCTTAAGTGGAAAAGGCAATATCTTCGCATAAAAACTAGACAGAAGCATTGTGAGAAATTTCTTTGTGATGTGTGCATTCATCTCACAGAGTTAAAGCTTTCTTTTGATTGAGCAGTTTTGAAACACTCTTTTTGTAGAATCTGCAAGTGGATATTTGGAGCACTTTGCAGTCTATAGTGGAAAAGGAAATATCTTCACATAAATATTTGTCAGAATCATTCTGAGAAACTTCTTCATGTGTGCATTCATCTCACAGAGTTCAACCTTTCTTTTGATTGAGCAGTTTTGAAACACTCTTTTTGTAGTATCTGCAAGGGATACTTGGAGCAGTTTGAGGTCTATGGAGTAAAAGGAAATATCTTCACCTAAAAACTAGACAGAAGCATTCTGAGAAACTTCTTTGTGGTGTGTGCATTCATATCACTGTCTTGATCCATTCTTTTGACTGAGCAGTTTTGAAACACTCTTTGTGTAGAATCTGCAAGTGGATATTTGGAGTGCTTTGAGGCCTATTGTGGAAAAGGAAATGTCTTCACATAAAAACCAGACAGAAGCATACTGAGAAAATTATTTATGATGTGTGCATTCATCTCACAGAGCTGCACCTTTCTTTTGATTGAGCAGTTTTGAAACACTCTTTTTATAGAGTGTGCAAGCTGATATTTGGAGCACTTTGATGCTTATGGTGGAAAAGCAAATATCTTCACATAAAAACTCCAGAGAAGCATTCTGACAAAGTTCTTTGTGCTGTGTGCATTCAACTCACAGAGTTGAACCTTTCTTTTGATTGAGCAGTTTTGAAACACTCTTTTTGCAGAATCTGCAAGTGAATATTTTGAGCGCTTTGTGGCCTCTGTTGGAAAAGGTAATGTCTTCACATAAACTAGACAGAAGCATTCTGAGAAACTTCTTCGTGATGTGTGCATTCATCTCACAGAGTTGAACCTTTCTTTTGATTGAGCAGTTTTGAAACACTCTTTTTGCAGAATCTGCAAGTGGATATGTGGAGCACTTTGAGGCCATGATACAAAAGGAAATATCTTCACATAAGAACTAGACAGAATCATTCTAAGATACTTCTTTGTGATGTGCACATTCAACTCACAGAGTTGAACATTTCTTTTGATTGAGCAGTTTTGAAACACTCTTTTTGTAGAATCAGCAGTTGGATATTTAGAGCGCTTTGAGGCCTATGGTGGAAAAGGAAATATCTTCACATAAAAACTAGACAGAAGCATTCTGAGAAACTTTTTTGTGATGTGTGCATTCAACTCACCGAGTTGAACAGTCTTTTTATTGAGCAGTTAGGATACATTCTTTTCGTACCATCTTCAAATTTGTATTTGGACAGCTTTGAGGCCTATAGTGGAAAAGGAAATATCTGCACATAAAAATTAGACAGAAGCATTCGGAGAAACTTCTTTGTGATGTGTGCACTCATCTCACAGAGTTAAACCATTCTTTTGATTGAGCAGTTTTGAAACACTCTTTTTGTATAATCTGTAAGTGGATATTTGGATCACTTTGAGGCATATGGTGGAAAAGAATATATCTTCCCATAAAAACTAGCCAGAAGCATTCTGAGAAACTTCTTTGTGATGTGTGTATTCAGCTCACAGAGTTGAACCTTTATTTTGATTGAGCAGTTCTGAAACACACTTTTTGTAGGATCTGCAATTGGATATTTGGATCGCTTTGCAGCCTCTTGTGGAAAAGGAAATATCTTCACATAAAAACTACAGGGAATCATTTTGAGAAACTTCTTTGTGATGTGTGCTTTCAGCTCGCAGAGTTGAACTTTTCTTTTGGTTGAGCAGTTTTGAAACACTCTTTTTGTAGAATCTGCAAGTGGATATTTAGAGCGCTTTGACGCCTATGGTGGAAAAGGAAATATCTTCACATGAAAAGTAGACAGAAGCATTCTGAGAAACTTCTTTGTGTTGTGTGCATTCATCTCACAGAGTTGGACTTTCTTTTTGTTGAGCAGTTTGGAAACACTCTTTTTGTAGAGTCTGCCATTGGATATTTAGAGCGCTGTGAATCCTATGGTGGAAAAGGTCATATCTTCACATAAGAACTATAAAGCAGGTTTTCTAAAAACAACATTGTGATGTGTGCATTCATCTCACAGAGGTAAGTGTTTCTTTTCTCCTATCAGTCTGGAAAGTCTGTTCTTGTACAATCTCAAAGGGGGTAGTTTTGAGCACTTTGAGGCCTATTGTAACAAAGGAAATATCTTCACATTCAAAGTATAAAGAAAGTTTCTGAGATACTTCTTTGTGATATGTGCATTCATCTCACAGATTTGCGCGTCTCTTTTAATTCAGCCGTTTGGAAACAGTCTTTTTGAAGAATCTGCAAACGGATATTTGTGAGCACTTTGAGGCCTATGCAGGAAAAGAAGTATCTTCACAGAAAACTATAAAGAAGGTTTCTGAGAAACTGTTTTTTGATGTCTGCATTCATCTTGCAGAGGTAAACAATTCTTTTCTTTGATCAGTTGGGTATCTCTGTTCTTGTAGGATCTGCTAAGGGATATTTTTGAGTGCCTAGACCCCTATGGTGAAAAAGATATTGTCTTCACATAAAAACTAGACAGAGGCCTACTGTGAAACTTCTTGGTGATGTGTGCATTCATCTCACAGAATTGAAACTTTCTTTTGATTAAGCAGTTTGGAAACGTCTTTTTGTGGAATCCGTAAAGGGAAATTTCTGATCACTTTGAGGCCTATGGTGAAAGAGAAAGTATCTTCACATAAAAACTAGACTAAAGATTTCTGAGAAACTGCTTTGTGATGTATGTATTCATCTCACAGAGTTCAACAATTCTTTTGATCGAGCAGTTGGGAAACCGTCTTTTTGTAGAATCTGCAAAGGGATATTTGTGAGCACTTAGAGGTCTATGGTTAAAAGGAAATATCTTCACATAAAAACTATAAAGAAGGTTTGTGAGAAACTTCTTTATGATGTGTGCATTCATCTCACAGAGTTGAACCACTCCTTTGACTCAGCGGTTTGGAAACAGTCTTTTTTAGCATCTGCAAAGGTATATTTTTGAGCACTTTGAGGCCCATGGTGAAAAAGGAAACACTTTCACATAAAAACAAGATAGAAGCTTTCTGAGAACCATCTTTTTGATATGTGCATTCATCCCACAGAGGTGAACCTTTCTTTTGATGAGCATTTTGGAAGCAGTATTTGGTAGAATTTCCAAAGGGTTATTAGTTAGTGTTTTGTGTCCTATGTTGGAAAAGGAATTATTTTTAAATAAAAACTAGACAGAATATTTCTGAGAAACTGCCTTGTGATGTGTGATTTCATCTCACAGAAGTAACCATTTCTTTTCATTGAACAGATTGGAAATTCTGTTCTTGTAAAATCTGCAAAGGGATATTTGTTAGCACTTTGAGGCCTATGGTAAAAAAGGAATTATCTTCACATAAAAACTAGACGGAGGCTTTCTGTGAAACATCTTGGAGATGCGAGAATTTGTCTCACAGAGTTGAAACATTCTTTTGGTTGGGCAGTTTGTAAACAGTATTTTGGTAGAATCTGCAAAGGAATATTTGTGATGCTTTGAAGCCTATGGTGAAAACGAAATATTTTCACATGAAAACTAGAGAGAAGCTTTCTGAGAAACCTCCTTGTGATGTGTGCATTCATCTCACAGATTTGAAACTTTCTTTGGATTGAGCAATTTGGAAACAGTATTTTTGTAGAATCTGTAAAGGCATATTTTTGAGTCGTATGAGGCCTATGATGAAATAGGAAATATCTTCACATAAAAACTAGACAGAAGCTTTCCGAGAAACTTCTTTATGATGTGTGCATTCATCTCGTAGAGTTCAACCATTCTTTTGATTGAACAGTTTGGAAACACTCTTTTTGTAGAATCTGCAAAGGGATATTTATGAGTGCTTTGAGTCCTATGGTGAAAAAGGAAATGTATTCACATAAAAAGTATAAACAAGGTTTCTCAGAAACAGCTTTGTGATGTATGCATTCATCTCACAAAAGTAAACGTTTCTTTTCTCTGATCTGTCTGGAAACTGTTCTTGTAGATTCTGCAAAGGGATATTTGTGAGTATTTTGAGGCCTATGGTGAAAAAGGAAATATCTTCACATAAAAATTAGAGAGAGGTTTTCTGAGAAACCTCTTTGTGATGTGGGCATTCATCTCACAAAGTTGAAACTTACTTTTGATTGATCAGTATGGAAACCATCTTTTGTGGAATCTGCAAAGGGAAATTTATGAGAGCTTTGAGGCCAATGTTGAAAAAGGAAATATATTTATATAAAAGGCATAAAGAAGGTTTCTTAGAAACAGCTTTGTGGTGTGTGCATTGATCTCAGAGAGGTAAACGTTTATTTTCTTTGATCAGTCTGGAAACTCTGTTCTTGTAGTATCTGCAAAGGGATATTTGTGAGTGCTTTGAGGCCTATGATGAAAAAGGAGATATCTTCACATAAAAACTAGACAGAAGCTTTCTTAGTGGCTTCTTTGTAATGTGTGCAATCATCTCACAGAATTGAACCATTCTTTTGATTCAGCAGTCTGGAAACAGTATTTTTGTAGAATCTGCAAGGGATATTTGTCACGACTTCGAGTGCTATGGTGAAAAAGGAAATATCTTCACATAAAAAATGGACAGAAGATTTCTGAGAAACCTCTTTGAGATGTGTGCATCCATCTCACAGAGTTCAACCATTTATTTGATTGAGCAGTTGGGAAGCAGTCTTTTTGCAGAATCTACAAAGGGATATTGCTGAGCAATTTGAGGCCTGTGTTGAAAAAGGAAATATCTTCACATAAAAACTATAAAGAAGGTTTCTGAGAAACTTCTTTGTAATGTATGCATTCATCTCATGGAGTTGAACTATTCTTTTGATTGAGCACTTTGGAAACAATCTTTTTGTAGAATCTGCAAAAGGATATTTTTGAGCCCTTTGAGTCCTAGGGAGAAAAAAGAAATATCATCACATAAAAAGTATAAAGAACGTTTCTGAGAAAAAGTTTTGTGATGTGTGCATTCATCTCACAGAGAAAAACGTTTATTTTGTTTGATCAGTCTGGAAATTCTGTTCTTGTAGAATCTGCTAAGGGATATTTTTGAGCAGATGGAGGCCTATGGTGAAAAAGGAAATGTCTTCATATAAAAATTAGACAGAAGCCTCCTGCGAAACTTCTTAGTGATGTGTGCATTCATCTCACAGAGTAGAAACTTTCTTTTCATTGAGCCATTTGGAAACAGTCTTTTTGTAGACTCTGCAAATGGATATTTGGAGCACTTTGAGGCCTATGGTGAAAAAGGAAATATATTCACATAAAAACCAGACTGAAAGTTTCTGAGAAACTTCTCTGAGATGTGTCCATTCATCTCACAAAGTTCAATAATTCTTTTTATTGAGCGGTTTGGAACAATCTTTTTGTAGAATCTGCAAAGAGATATTTGTGAGGGCTTGAGGCCTATGGTGAAAAAGGAAATATCTTCACGGAAAAACTATAAAGAAGGTTTCTGAGAAACTTCTTTGTGATGTGTGCGTTCATCTCACACAGTTCAACCTTTCTTTTGATTGAGCAGTTTGGAAACAGTCTTTTTAAATATTCTTCCAGTGGATACTTGTGAGCACCTTGAGGCTCCTGGGGAAAAAGGAAACATTCACTTAAAAACTTAATAGAAGCTTTCTGAGAAACTACTTTTTGACGTGTGCATTCATCTCACAGAGTTGAACCTTTCTCTTGATGAGCAGTGTGGAAACAATCTTTTTGTAGAATCTGCAAAAGGACAATTTTGAGTGCTTTGCATCCTGTGGTGGAAAAGGAGATACCTTCACATAAAAACTAGACAGAATGTTTCTCAGAAACTGCTTTGTGATATGTGCATTCATCTCCCAGATGTGTCTGTTTCTTTTCATTGAGAAGATTGGAAACTCTTTTCTTGTAAGACCTGCAAAGGGATATTTGTGAGCCCTTTGAGGTGTATGGTGAAAAAGGAAATATCTTCACATAAAAACTACACAGAAGCTTTCTGAGAAACATCCTCGTGATGTGAGCATTCACCTCACAGAGTTGAAACATTCTTTTGATTGAGCCATGTGTAGAGAGTCTTTTTGTAGAATCTGCAAAGGGATATTTGTGAATGCTTTGAGGCCTATGGTGAAAAAGGAAATATCTTCACATAAAAACTAGAGAGAAGCTTTCTGAGAAACCTCTTTGTGGTGTGCATACAACTCACAGAGTTGAACCTTTCTTTTGATTGAGCAATTTGGAAGAAGTATTTTTGTAGAATCTGTAAAGGGATATTTGTGAGCACTTTGAGGCCTATGGTGAAAAACTAGACAGAGGCATTCTAAGAAACTTCTTCATGATGTGTGCATTCATCACACAGAGTTGAACCTTTGTTTTGATTGAGCCGTTTGGAAACAGTCTTTTTGTAGACTCTGCAAACGGATATTTGGAGCACTTTGAGGCCTATCGTGAAAAAGGAAATATATTCACATAAAAACTAGACTGAAGGATTCTGAGAAACTTCTTTGAGCTGTGTGCATTCATCTGACAGTGTTCAATAATTCTTTTTATTGAGCAGTTTGGAAACAGTCTTTTTGTAGAATCTGCAAAGGGATATTTGTGAGGGCTTTGAGGTCTGTGTTGAAAAAGGAAATATCTTCAGGGAAAAACCATAAAGAAAGTTTCTGAGAAACTTCTTTGGATGTGTGAATTCATCACACTGAGTTGAAACATTCTTTGGATTGAACAGTTTGCAAACAGTCTTTTTGTAGAATCTGCAGAGGGATATTTGTAGCGCTTTGAGGCCTATGGTGAATAAGGAAATATCTTCACATAAAAACTAGACAAAAGTTTTCTGAGAAACTTTTTGTGATGTGTGCATTTATCTCATAGAGTTTAACATTTGTTTTGATTGAGCAGTCTGGAAACAGCTTTTTGTACAATCTGCAAAGGGATATTTAGGAGTAAGTTGAGGCCTATGGTGGAAAAGGAAATATCTAACATAAAAACTAGAAAGAAGCATTCTGAGAAGCTCCTTTAAGATATGTGTACTCATCTCACAGAGGTAAACATTTCTTTTCATTGAGCAGTTTGTAAACTCTGTTATTCTAGAGTCTGCAAAGGGGTATTTTTGAGAGCTTTGAGACCCATGTTGAAAAAGGAACTATCTTCACATAAAAACTAGTGAGAAGCTTGCTGAGAAACTACTTTCTGATGTGTGCATTCATCTAACAGAGTTGAAACTTTCTTTTGATTGAGCAGTTTGGAAACAGTCTTTTTGTAGATTCTGCAAAGGTATATTTGGGAGTGCATTGAGGCCTATGTTCAAAAAGGAAACATCTTCACATAAAACTGAGAAGGAGGTTTTCTGAGAAACTTCTTTGTGATGTGCACATTCGTCTCACAGGGTTGAACCATTCTGTTTATTGAGCAGTTTGGAAACAATCTTTTTGTAGAATCTGCAAAGGGATATCTGTGAGTGCATTGAGGCTTATGGTGAAAAAGGAAATATATTCACATTAAAAGTAGAAAGAAGTTTTCTGAGTAACTCATTTGTGACATGTGCATTTATCACAGAGAAGTAAAAATTTCTTCCCATTGAGCAGTTAGTTTTTGTGAAGATATTTCCGTTTTCACCATAGACCTCAAAAGGCCTACATATATCCCTTTGCAGATTCTACAAAAAGACTATTTCCAAACTGCTCAATCAAAGAAAGCTTCCACTCTGTGAGATGAATGCACACATCACAGAGAAGTTTCTCAAAAAGTTTCTGTCTAGTTTTATTTGTTGATACTCCCTTTTTCACCATAGGCCTCAAATCGCTCATGAATAACTCTTTGCAGATTCTACAAGAAGACTGTTTCCAAACTACTCAATCAAAAGAAAGCTTCATCTCTGTGAGGTGAATGCACACATCATAAAGAAGTTTCTCAGAAAGCTTCTGTCTAGTTTTTATTTGAAGATGTTTCCTTTTTCAATATAGGCCTCAAAGTGCTCACAAATGTCCCTTTACAGATTTTAAAAAAAGACTGTTACCAAACTGCTCAACTGAAACAAAGCTTCAACTCTTTGAGATGAATGCACACATCACAAAGAAGTTTCTCAGAAAGCTTCCGTCCAGTTTTTATGTGAAGATATTTCCTTTTTCACCATAAGTCTCAAAGCATTCAAATTATCACTTTGCAGATTCTACAAAAAGACATTTTCCAACCTGCTCTATCTAAAGAAAGGTTTAACTCTGTGAGAAGAATGCACACATCAAAAATAAGTTTCTCAGAATGCTTCTGTCTAGTTTTTATCTGAAGACATTTCCTTTTTCACCATAGACCAAAAAGGGATCCCAAATATCCCTTTGTACATTCTACAAAGGACTGTTTCCAAACTGCTCAATCCAAAGACAGGTTCAACTTTTGGGATGAATGCACACATCACAACGAAGTTTCTCAGAAAGCTTCTGTCTAGTTTTTGTGTGAAGATATTACTTTTTTCACCATAGGCTTCAAAGGGCTCACAAATATCACAAAGCAGATTCTACAAAAAGACTCTATCCAAACTGGTCAAGGAAAAGAACACTTCAAATCTGTGAGATGAATGTGCACATCTCAAAGAATTTTCTCAGAAAGCTTCTGTCTAGTTTTTATGTGAAGATATTTCCGTTTTCACCATAGACCTGAAACCGCCTATATATAACCCTTTTCAGATTCTACAAAAAGACTGTTTCCAAACGGCTCAATCAAAGAAAGTTTCTACTCTGTGAGATGAATGCACACATCACAGGGAAGTTTTTCAGAACGTTTCTGTCTAGTTTTTATTTGTCGATACTCCCTTTTTCACCATAGGCCTTAAACTGCTCATAAATAACCCTTTGCAGGTTCTACAAAAGGACTATTTCCAAACTGCTCAATCAAATGAAATTTCAGCTGTGTGAGATGAATGCACACATCAAAAAGAAGTTTCTCAGAACGTTTCTGTCTAGTTTTTATGTGAAGATACTTCTTTTTCACCATAAACCTCAAAGCGTTCCCAAATTTTCCTTTGCAGATTCTATGAAAAGACTGTTTCCAAACTGCTCAATCAAAAGAAAGGTTCAACTTTTTGTGATGAATGCAGACATCACAACGAACTTTCTCAGAAGGCTTCTGTCTAGATTTTATTTGTGGATATTTCCTTTTTCACAATAGGCCTCAGAAAGCTCACAAATATCACTTTGCATATTCTACAAAAAGACTGTTTCCAATCTGCTCAATGAAAGAAAATTCAACTCTGTGAGATGAATGCATGCATCACAAAGTGGTTTCTCAGAATGTTTCTGTCTAGTTTTTATATGAAGATATTTCCTTTTTCATCACATGCCTCAAACCATTCAAAAACATCCCTTTGCAGATTCTCCAAAAAGACTTTTTACAAACTGCTCAATCAAAAGAAAGATTCAAGTCTTTGAGATGCATACACCCATTACAAAGAAGTTTCCCAGAAAACATGAGTCTAGTTTTTATGTGAAGATATTTCCTTTTTCACCATAAGCCTCAAAGCATTCACAAATATCACTTTGCATTTTCTATGAAAAGACTGTTTCCAAACTGGTCAATCAAAAGAAGTTTCAACCCTGTGAGATGAATGCACACATCACAAAGAAGTTCTTCAGAAAGCTACTGTCTACATTTTATTTTTTGATATTTCCTTTTTCACCATTGGATTCAAACCACTGAAACATATCACTTTGCAGATTCTACAAAAAGACTTTTTCCAAACTGCCCAATCAAAAGAAAGGCTCAACTCTGTGAGATGAATGCACACATCACAAGGAAGTTTCTCAGATAGCTCTTATTATTTTGAGATACGTCCCATCAATACCTAATTTATTGAGAGTTTTTAACATGAGGGGCTGTTGAATTTTGTAAAGGCCTTTTCTGCATCTATTGGGATAATCATGTGGTTTTTGTCTTTGGTTCTGTTTATATGCTGGATTACATTTATTGATTTGCGTATATTGAACCAGCTTTGCATCCCAGGGATGAAGCCCACTTGATCATCGTGGATAAGCTTCTTGATGTGCTGCTGGATTCGGTTTGCCAGTATTTTATTGAGGATTTTTGCATCAGTGTTCATCAAGGATATTGGTCTAAAATTCTCTTTTTTGGTTGTGTCTCTGCCCGGCTTTGTTATCAGGATGGTGCTGGCTTCATAAAATGAGTTAGGGAGGATTCCCTCTTTTTCTATTGATTGGAATAGTTTCAGAAGGAATGGTACCAGTTCCTCCTTGTAACTCTGGTAGAATTCGGCTGTGAATCCATCTGATCCTGGACTCTTTTTGGTTGGTAAGCTATTGATTATGGCCACAACTTCAGAGCCTGTTATTGGTCTATTTAGAAATCCAACTTCTTCCTGGTTTAGTCTTGAGAGGGTGTATATGTCAAAGAATTTATCCATTTCTTCTAGATTTTCTAGTTTATTTGCATAGAGGGGTTTGTAGTATTCTCTGATGGTAGTTTGAATTTCTGTGGGGACGGTGGTCATATCCTCCTTATCATTTTTTATTGCATCTATTTGGTTCTTCTCTTTTTTCTTCTTTATTAGTCTTGCTAGTGGTCTATCAATTTTGTTGATCCTTTCAAAAAACCAGCTCCTGGATTCATTAATTTTTTGAAGGGTTTTTTTGTGTCTCTATTTCTTTCAGTTCTGCTCTGATTTTAGTTATTTCTTGCCTTCTGCTAGCTTTTGAATGTGTTTGCTCTTGCTTTTCTAGTTCTTTTAACTGTGATGTTAGGATGTCAATTTTGGATCTTTTCTGCTTTCTCTTGTGGGCATTTAGTGCTAAAAATTTCCCTCTAAACACTGCTTTGAATGTGTCCCAGAGATTCTGGTATGTTGTGTCTTTGTTCTCATTGGTTTCATGCTGCTATAAAGACACATGAACGTGTATGTTTATTGAGGCACTATTCACAATAGCAAAGACTTGGAACCAACCCAAATGTCCAACAATGATAGACTGGATTAAGAAAATGTGGCACATATACACATGGAATACTATGGAGCAATAAAAAATGATGAGTTAATGTCCTTTGTAGGGACATGAATGAAATTGGAAATCATCATTCTCAGTAAACTATCACAAGGACAAAAAACCAAACACCACGTGTTCTCACTCATAGGTGAGATTTGAACAATGAGAACACATGGACACAGGAAGGGGAACATCACACTCTGGGGACTGTTGTGGGGTGGGGGGAGGGGGGAGGGATAGCATTAGGAGATATATCTAATGCTAAATGATGAGTTAATGGGTGCAGGACACCAGCGTGGCACATGTATACATATGTAACTAACCTGCACATTGTGCACATGTACCCTAAAACTTAAAGTATAATAATAATAAAATAAAATAAAATAAAATAAAGTGCACATCACAAAGAAGTTTCTCAGAAAGTTTCTTTTTAGTTTTTATGTGAAGATATTTCCTTTTTCACCATAGTCCACAAAGTGCACCAAATATCTTTTGCAGATGATTGTACAAAAAGAGTTTCTCCAAACTGCTCAATCAAAGGAAAGTTTCATCTCTGTGAGATGAAAGCACAAATCACAAAGAAGTTACTCAGAATGCTTCTGTCTAGTTTTTAAATGAAGGTATTTCCTGTTACACCATAGGCCTCAAAGGGCTCACAGATATCCTTTTGCAGATTCTACAAAAACACTGTTACAGAATTGCTCAATGAAAAGTAAGTTTCAACTCTGTGAGATGAATTCACACCTAAAAAAAGAAGTTTCTCAGAATGCTTCTGTCTAGTTTTTATGTGAAGATATTTCTTTGTCACCATAGGCCTCAAACCGCTCAGAAATATCCCTATGCAGATGTTACAAAAAGACTGTTTCCAAACTGCTCAATGAAAAGAAAGATTCTACTCTGTGAGATGAAAGCACATATCACAAAGAATTTTCTCAGAAAGTTTTTGTCTAGCTTATATGTGAAGACATTTCCTCTTTCACCATAGGCCTCAATGGGCTCAAAAACGTCTCTTTTCAGATACTACAAAAGGCCTCTTTCCAAACTGCTCAATCAAAAGAAAGTTTCAACTCTGTGAGATGAAAGCACACATCACAAATAAGTTTCTCAGAATGTTTGTTTAGTTTTATGTGAAGATATTTCCTGTTTCACTGTAGGCCATAAATGACTCACAAATATCCCTTTGCAGACTCTACAAAAAGACAGTTTGCAAACAGCTCAATCAAAAACAAAGGTTCAACTATGTGAGACGAATGGACACATCACAAAGAAGTTTCTCAGAAGGCTTCTGCCTAGTTTTTATGTGAAGATATGTCTTTTTCACCATAGGCCTCAAATGGCTAAGAAATATCCCTTTGCAGATTGTACAAAAAGACTGTTTCCAAATTGCTCAATGAAAAGACAGGTTCAACTCTGTGAGATAAGTGCACACATGAAAAAGAAGTTTCTCAGAATGCTTCTGTCTAGTTTTTATCTGACATAGTTATTTTTCACCATAGGCCTCAAATGGTTCAGAAATATCCCTTTGCATATTGTACTAAAAGACTGTTTCCAAACTGTCAAATGCAAAGAAAGGTTCAACTCTGTGAGATGAATGCAAACATCAAAAAGAAGTTTCTCAGAAAGTTTCTGTCTAGTTTTTATGTGAAGATAATTCCTTCTTCACAATAGGCCTCAAAGTGCTCCAAATATCCATTTTCAGATTACACAAAAAGACTGTTTCCAAACGGCTCAATCACAAAAAAAGTTCAACTCTGTGAGATGAATGCACACATCATAAAGAAGTTTCTCAGAATACTTCTGTCTAGTTTTGATGTGAAGATATTTCCTTTTTCACCATAGGCCTTAAACGGCTCCCAAATATCCCTCTGCAGATACTACAAAAAGGCTGCTTGAAAACTGTTCAATCAAAGGAATCCTTCATCTCTGTGAGATGAAACCACACATCACAAAGAAGTTCCTCATAATGCTTCTGTCTGGTTTTTATGTGAAGATATTTCATATTTCACCATAGGCCTCAAAGAGCTCACAAATATCCCTTTGCAGACTCTACAAAAAGACTGTTTCAAACTGCTCCATGCAAAGAAAGGTTCAACTCTGTGAGACGAATGCACACATAAAAAAGAAGTTTCTCACAATTCTTCTGTTTAGTTTTTATGTGAAGATATTCCTTTTTCACTATAGGCACCAAACCGTTCAGAAATATCCCTTTGTAGACTACAAAAAGACTGTTTCCAAACTGCTCAATCAAAAGAAAGTTTCAAACCTGTTAGATGAAAGCACACATCACAAAGAAGTTTCTCAGAATACTTCTGTCTAGTTTTTATGTGAAGATATTTCTTTTTCACCATAGGCCTCAAACCCCTCAGAAATATCCCTTTGCAGATTGTAGATAAAGACTGCTTCCTAACTGCTCAATCAAAAGAACAGTTCAACTCTGTGAGATGAAAGCACACGTCACAAAGAAGTTTCTCAGAAATCTTCTGTCTAGTTTTTATGTGAAGATATTTCCCTTCTAATGATAGGCCTCAAAGCAATCCAATTATCAATTTGCAGATTCTACAAAATACTCTTTCCAAACTGCTCAATCAAAAGAAATTTTCAACTCTGTGAGATGAAAGCATACATCACAAAGAAGTTCTTCAGAAAGTTTCTCACTAGATTTTATGTGAAGATATTTAGTTTTTCACCACAAGCCACAAAGTGCTCCAAATATCCTTTTGCAGATACTTCAAAAAGAGTTTTTCCAAACTGCTCAATCAAAACAAAGTTTCAACTCTGTGAGAGGAATGCAAACATCACAAAGAAGTTTCTCAAAATGCTTCTGTCTAGTTTTCCTTTGAAGATATTTCCCATTTCACCATGGGCCTCAGTGGGCTCACATATATCCTCTTCCAAATTCTACAAAAAGACTGTTTCTGAATTTCTCAATGAAGAGAAAGGTTCAACTCTGGGAGATGAATGCACACATGAATAATAAGTTTCTCAGAATGCCTCTGTCTAGTTTTTGTGTTAAGATATTTGTTTTTCACCGTAGGCCTCAAACTTCTCAGAAATATCCCTTTGTAGATTGTACAAAAAGATGGTTTCCAAACTGCTCAATGAAAACAAAGGTTCAACACTGTGACATGAATACTCACATCACAGAGAAGTTTTTCAGAAAGCTTCTGTTTAGTTTTTAAGTGAAAATATTTCCTTTTTCACCATAGGCCTCAAAGCAATCCAAATATCCTTTTGCAAACTCTACAAAAAGAGAGTTTCCAAACTGTTCAATTAAAAAAAAGATTCAAATCTGTGAGAAGAAAGCACACATCATGAAGAAGTTTCCCATAATGCTTCTGTCTACTTTTTTTGTGAAGATATTTCCTATATCACCATAGGCCTCAAAGATCTCACAAATATCCCTTTGCAGACTCTACAAAAAGACAGTTTTCGGACTGCTAAATGAAAAGAAAGGTTCAATTCTGTGAGACGAATGCACACATATTAATTAGTTTATCATAATGCTTCTGTCTAGTTTTTATGTGAAGATATTTCTTTTTCACCATAGGCATCAAACCGTTCAGAATTATCCCTTTGTAGATTGTACAAAAAGACTGTTTCCAAACTGCTCAATCAAAAGAAAGGTTCAAACCGGTGAGATGAATGCACACATAAAAGAGGAGTTTCTCAGAAATCTTCTGTCTTGTTTTTATGTGAAGATATTACCTTTCTCAACATAGGCCTCAAAGCAATCCAAATATCCATTTGCAGATTCTATAAAAAGACTGTTTCCAAACTGATCAATCAAAAGAAATTTTTACCTCTCTGAGATGAAAGCACACATCACAAAAATGTTACTCAGACAGCTTCTCTCTAGTATGTATGTGAAGATACTTCCTATTTCACCTGAGGTCATAAAGGGCTCAGAGATATCCCTTTGAAGGTTTTACAAAAAGTCTGTGTCCAAACTGCTCAATCAAAAGAAAGGTTCAACTCTGTGAGATGAATGGGCACATCACAAAGAAATTTCTTGGAATGATTCTGTCTAGTTTTTATGTGAAGATATTTCTCTTTCACCATAGGCCTCAAACGGATCAGAATTATCCCTTTGCAGATTGTACAATAAGCCTCTTTCCAACCTGCTCAATCAAAAGAAATGTTCAACTCTGTGAGATGAATGCACACATCACAAGGAAGTTTCTCAGAAAACTTCTGTTTAGTTTTTATGTGAAGATATTTCGTTTTTCACCATGGGCCTCAAAAGCTCTCCAAATATCCATTTGCAGATTTTAGAAAAAGAGTGTTTCCAAACTCCTCAATCAAAAGAAAGTTTCAATTCTGTGATATGAAAGCACACATCACAAAGAAGATTCTTAGAAAGCTTCTGTCTAGTTTTTATGTGAAGATATTTCACATTGCACCATAGTACTCAATGGGCTCAGAAATATCCCTTTGCAGATTCTACAAGAGGACTGTTTCCAAACTACTCAATCCAAAGACAGTTTCAACTATGTGAGATGAATGCACACATCACAAAGAAGTTTCTCAGAGTGCTTCTGTCTAGTTTATATGTGAAGAAAATTCCTATTTCACCATAGGCAATAAAGGGCTCACAAATATTTTTTGCAGATTCTACAAAAATACGTATCCAAAGTGCTAAATAAAAAGAAAGTTTCAACTCTGTTAGATTAATGGACACATCAAAAAGTAGTTTCTCAGAAAACTTCTGTTTAGTTTTTACGTGAAGATATTTCCTTTGTCACCATTGGCCTCAAAGTGCTCTGAATATCCATTTACAGATTTCACTAAAAGAGTGTTTCCAAACTGCTGAATCAAAAGAAAGTTTTAACTCTGTGAGATGAAAGCACACATCTCAAAGAACTTTCTCAGAAAGCTTTGGTCTAGTTTTCATGTGAAGATATTTCCAGTTTCACCACAGGCCTCAAAGTGCTAAGAAATATACCTTTCCAGATTCTAAAAGACGACCATTTCCATACTGCTCAGTCAAAATAAAGGTTAAATTCTGTGAGGTGAATGCACACATCAGAATGAAGTTTCTCAGAATTCTCCTGTCTAGTTTTTATGTGAAGATATTTACTATTTCACTATAGGCTTCAAATGTCTCAAAAATATCCCTTTGCAGATTCTACAAAAATATGGTTTCCAAAGTGCTGAATTAAAAGAAACCTTCAACTCTGTCAGATGAATGGAGACATCACAAAGAAGTTCCTCAGAATTCTTCTGTCTATTTTAAATGTGAAGATATTTCTTTTTTCACCATAGACCTCAAATGGCTCAGAAATATGCCTTTGCAGATTGCAGAAAAAGACTGTTTCTAAACTGCTCAAACAAAATAAAGTTTCAACACTGTTAGATGAATGCGCACATCACAAAGAAGTTTCTCAGAAAGCTTCTGTCTCGTTTTTATGTGAAGATATTTCCTTTTTCACCATAGGCCTTAAACCGCTCACAAATATCCTTCTGCAGATACTATAAAAAGACTGTTTCCAAACTGCTCCATCAAAAGAAAAGTTCACCTCTCTGAGGTGAATGCATACATCACAAAGAATTTTCTCAGAATTCTTCTGTCTAGTTTTTATGTGAAGATATTTCCATTTTCACATTAGGCCACAAAGCACTCCAAATATCCATTTGCAGATTATACAAAAAGACTGTTTACAAACTGCTCAATCAAAAGAAATGTTCAACTCTGTGAGATGAAAGCACACATCACAAAGAAGTTTCTCAGAAATCTTCTGTCTAGTTTTTATCTCAAGATAATTCCTATTTTGCCATAGGAATCAGTGGGCTCACAAATATCCCTTTGCAGATTCTACAAAAGTTCTGTTTCCAAACTGCTCAATCAAAAGAAACGTTCAACATTGTGAGATGAATGCACACATCACAAAGAAGTTTCTCGGAATGCTTCTGTCTGGTTATTATGTGAAGATAATTCCTTTTTCACCACAGTCTTTAAACCACTCAAAAATATCCCTCTGCAGATACTACAAAAAGACTGTTTCCAAACTGGTCCATATAGAAAGTTTCAACTCTGTGAGATGAATGCACTCATCACAAAGAATTTTCTCAGAATTCTTCTGTCTAGTTTTTATGTGAAGATATTTCCTTTTTCACCATAGTTCTCAAATTGCTCCAAATATCCATTTGCAGATTCTACAAAAACAGTGTTTCCAAACTGGTCAATCAAAAGAAAGGCTCAACTCTGTGAGACGAAAACACACATCACAAAGTTTCTCAGAAAGCTTCTGTCTACATTTCATGTGAAAGTATTTCCTTTTGCACCATAGGCCTTAAACCGCTCACAAATATAACTCCACTTATACTACCAAGAGACTTTCTCCAAATTGCTAAATCAAAAGAAAGTTTCAACTCTTTGAGAAGAATGCACACATCACAAAGAAGTTTCTCAAAATGCTTCTGTCTAGTTTTCATGTGAAGATATTTATTTTTCACCATTGGCCTCAAACTGCTCAGAAATATCCCTTTGCATTTTGTACAAAAAGACTGTTTCCAAACTGCTCAATGAAAAGAAATGGTCAACTCTTAGAGATGAATGGAAATGTCACAAAGAGTTTTCTCAAAAAGCTACTGTGTTGTTTTTATGTGAGGATATTTCCTTTTTCACTCTAGGCCTTAAAATGCTCCAAATATACATTTGCAGATTCTATAAAAAGACTCTTTCCAAACTGCTCAATCAAAATAAAGGTTCAAATCTGTGAGATGAAAGCCCACGTCACAAAGAAGTTTCTCAGAAAGTTTATATCTCGTTTTTATGTGAAGATATTTCCTATTTCACCTTTGGCCTCAAAGGGATCACAAATATCCCTATTCAGATATTACAAAAAACTGTTTCCGAACTGCTTCATCAAAAGAAAGGTTCAACTCTGTGAGAACAATGCACACATAAAAAATTAGTTTCTCAGAATGCTTCTGTCTAGTTTTTATGTGAAGATATTACTTTTTCACCATAGGTCTCAAACCGCAAACAAATATTCCTTTACAGATTGCACAAAAAGTATGTTTCCACACTGCTCAATGAACAGAAAAGTACAACTCAGTGAGATGAATGCAAACATCACAAAGAGTTTTCTCAAAATGCTTCTGTCTAGGTTTTAGGTGAAGATATTTACTTTTTCACCATAGGCCTCAAACCACTCACAAATATCCCTTTGCAGATTCTACAAAATGACTTGTTGCCAAACTGCTCAATGAAAAGCAAGGTTCAAATCTGTGAGATGAAAGTACACATCACAAAGAAGTTTCTCAGAAAGTTTCTGTCTAGTTTTTATATGCAGATATTTTCTTTTTCACAATAGGCCTCAAAGCACTTCAAATATCCGTTTGCAAGTTCTACAAAAAGAGTGTTTCCAAACTGCTCAATCAAAAGAGAGGTTCAGCTCTGTGAGGTGAAAGCATAAAACACAAAGAAGTTTTACAGAAAGCTTCTGTCTAGTTTTTATATGAAGACATTTCCTATTATACCATAGGCCCTCTATGTGCTCACAAACATCCCTTTGCAGATTCTACAAAAGGACTCTTTCCAAACTGCTCAATCCAAGGAAAGTTTCAACTCTGTGACATGAATGCACACATCACAAAGAAGTTTCACAGAATGCTTCTGTCTAGTTTTTATGTGAAGACATTTCTTGTTCACCATAGGCCTGAAATGCTGCAAATATCCATCTTCAGATTCTACAAAAAGACGGTTTCCAAAATGCTCAATCAAAAGAAAAGTTCAACTCTGTTAGATGAAAGCATGCATCACAAAGAAGTTTATCAGAAAGCTTCTGTCTAGTTTTTTTGTGAAGATATTCCCTATTTCACCATAGGCCTGAAAGGGCTCACAAATATCCTTCTGCATATTATACAAAAAGACTGTCTCCAAACTGCTCAATCAGAAGAAAATTTCAACTATGTGTGATGAATGCACACATTACAAAGAAGTTTCTCAGAATGCTTTTGCTAGTTTTTATATGAAGATATTTCTCTTTCACAGTAGGCCTCAAATGGCTCAGAAATATCCCTTTGCAGATTGTACAAAGAGACTGTTTCCAAACTGCTCAATCAAAAGAAAGTTTCAACACTGTGAGATGAATGCACACATCACAAAGAAGTTTCTCAGAATGCTTCTGTTAAGATTTCATGTGAAGATATTTCCTTTTTCACCATAAGCCTCAATGGGCTCAGAAGTATTACTTTGTTGATTTTACAAAAGGTCTGTTTAGAAAACTGCTCAATCCAAAGAAAGGTTCAACTCTGTGAGATGAATGCACACATCTCAAAGAAGTTTCTCACAATGGATTTGCCGAGGTTTTCTGTGAAGGTATTCCCTTTTCCACCATAGGCCTCAAACCGCTCACAAATATCCCTCTGCAGATACAACAAAGGGACTGTTTCCAATCTGCTCAATCAAAAGATAGGCTCAACAACGTGAGATGAATGTACACGTCACAAAGAAGTTTCTCAGAATGCTTCTGTCTAGTTTTAATGTGAAGATATTTACTTTTTCACCATAGGCCTCAAAACACGCAAAACATCCATTTGCAAATTCCACAAAAAGACTGTTTCCAAACTGTTCAATCAAAAGAAAGGTTCAACTCTGTGAGGTGAAAACACACATCACGAAGAAGTTTCTCAGAAAGCTTCTGTCTAGTTTTTATGTGAGTATATTTCCTATTTCACCACAGGCCTCAAAGGAATCCCAAATATCCCTTTGCAGATTCTACAAAAAGAGTGTTTCTGAACTGCTCAATGAAAAGAAAGTTTCAACTCTGTGAGGTGAATGCACACATAAAAAAAGAAGTTTCTCAGAATGCTTCTGTATAGTTTATATGTGAAGATATTACTTTTTCACCATAGGCCTCTAAGTGCTCAGAAATATCCCTTTGCACTTTGTATAAAAAGACTATTTCCAAACTGCTCAATGAAAAGAAAGATTCATCTCTGTGTGATGAATGCACACATAAAAAATAAGTTTCTCAGAATGCTTCCGTCTGGTTTAATGTGAAGATATTTCCTTTTTCACCATAGGCCTTAAACTGCACACAAATATCTCTCTGCAGATACTACAAAAAGACTGTTTTCAAACTGCTCCAAGAAAAGAAAGATTCAACCCTGTGAGATGAATGCACACATCCCAAAGGAGTTTCTCGGAATGATTCTGTCTACTTTTCATGTGAAGCTAATTCTTTTTCACCATAGGCATAAAACGGCTCAAAAATATCCCTTTGCAGATTGTACAAAAGGATGGTTTCCAATCTGCTCAATCAAAAGAAAGGATC